>NC_000008.11:35314648-35617678 GCF_000001405.40 Homo sapiens | reverse complement strand
GTGTGCCTGTAATCTGTGCCGTGGAAGCCACTGCAATTTGCACAAATCAAAGCTCTGGGAGTTTCAATAAGTCACTCATTCACTCCATGTACTGACTGTGCTGAATCTAAGGTAGCTCTGAGGGAAGATCACAGCTCCGTAGGATTTTACAGGGTGGAGAGGCTTGAGAGCTGTGCAATGCAATGAAAGAGGCCATCTAGGATTCTTTTAGCAGTTACAGATTCTAGAACTGAAGCTCAACTGCAGTAAGATCAGCTGGGTGTATTTCAAAAGTACACGTAGGCAGGTGCTCATTCTGCAGGTCTCTACCTGTGAAGAAAAAATGGTCATGCTCTATTTTACTAGCAGTTACGCAGAAAACTCTCCAGGGTGGGGGCAAGTGCACCTTCTAGTCACCAAAATTGGCTAAAAAGGAAAGAAGGTGGCATTTCTTCCTAAACAGATGATACACAGAGCAATTAGGATGTGGGGATCACAGCAAAGGATCACCAGCAGAAGCTGTGGCTGTGGTGATTGTGGCCGTTGTTTATCTGTTTTAATAAGCTCAGCCTAAGAAACAAAGGCAGTCTACATTTGCTAAGTGAATCGGGGTGGTGTGTGGTGCGCTTCATGGAAACACTAAAATCCATGCTGCCTCAGCAGGATTGGGATGAGTTCTTGATTCATGCCCATGGAACATTACTGCTGAATTACAGATCTGCAGCTCCTTATGTGGCGGCATCCCAGACTGCTTTTACTTCTGCATAATTCAAGATATAAAGACTGTTTATTGCCGCTAATGTTAATTTAAAAATCATACATTTCCTTTTCTTATATGAGGTTTCTTTAAAAATGCTTACTACCAACTGACTGCTGGCCTTCGGATCTTTCCTCCAAATCGCCTTCTCTCTGATCCATTTGCTGCTTCTGTCAATCAGAGAAACCTTAAGCACAACGTGCAAATTTTATATTTTTGAAAAACCCTATGTTGGTACAGGATAACGGATGTAATCTCCTACAAGAGGAAACAAATTGGAGAGGAGATGGAGGAGAATAAAGACAGGTTTTGTCAATAGTGTCTCTCCCATCCCATCAAGGCCTGCTCAAAGTTGTTACCAGCACTAAGCAACCCTGCCAAACCATCTCTAGAAGCTGAAAGTAGTGCAGAGTCCAATGCCATCAAATCGGGAGAGTTAACTGCAATCGGGCAGCAGTAGAGCTCAGACCGGGAATCACAGACATGCCCAGCAAAATGGAGGAAAAGCAGGAGGCTTGTATGTTCTTGTGCACACACACACATTCATAAATGCCATTCTCTTCCCTTCTGCTTAGCTTTGTATGCAATGAAATCAGATGGTGAACTAAAGACAGGCATGCTATCCGACTCTGCTGGTGCTCAGCACACAATATCTGACACATAAAGCGCTTTATCAGGTAAAGTTTAACAGAACAGGCTCTGAAGTCAGGCTGTCTGATACAAATATTGGCACAGATCACTCGGTATCTACCTATGCCCTTGAGTAAGCCGCTTGACCTCTCTGAGGCTCAGTTTGGTTATTTATAAAACTGGCATCTAGGCGCTTCAAAAAGTTGGGAAGATTCGGTGAACAGTGGCTGGCATTGAGTACACATGTACTAATGTTAGCTAGATAGCAGTTTCTCAATGGATGTATATATTAAATGAGTCTATCAAGGATAGCAATATTAGGGATATTGGTATATTTATCTATCAACAAATGGTAGCTTTAAGGATCGGATGAGTCCATGTATATGAGAATCTTTGTAAATTGTAAAGTGATATTCAACTTTAAGAGTTTACTACTATGTGCAGCCCACAGTGGTTGTGCAAATATTCATCCTCTGAGTCACATATGCTCCCCAGATATCTACCATAGTTTTAGATGCCTTTATGTTATCTACTGAGGGTGATGGGAGAGGATACTGAAAAGTATACTGTGCATTTCCTATCCTGAAGAGAATTAGAAAATATGACACACAGGCATGAAAAATTAAATATAAGAGAAAAATTTTAAAAAGCAATATGCTATAAAAGCCTTTAGGAGGGAAAAAAATGCTGTCCTTACTTGAGCAGTTCATGCCAGTTAAATTAGGATTTATAGAAAAGAGCCAAGATCGTGCCACTGCACTCCAGCCTGAGTGACAGAGCAAGACTCTGTCTCAAAAATTAAATAAAATAAAATAAAAGAGAGATCAGCGTCACCTGGGAAGGGCAGGGAAGAACTCAGAGACTGACTGGGTTACAGCAGATCCTCCTAGGCTGTGTAAACCACAAACAGATGGATGAGGGCAAGGACATTCCAAGCAAGGAGAAATAATGAGGACACAGAGAAAGGTCTGGAAATAACATTGTCAGAGAGTCATTCTTAGAAAGAAAGAGGGCTGATAATGTAGAGCTGACAGGCACAAAGAAAAGAGGAAGCAAAGACAAGCACCTAGGAAAGCTTTGTAATGTTATCTCTGGCCCCACGCTGGAGTGCAGTGGACTAGTCATGCCTCGCTACAGCCTCAACCTCCTGGGCTCAAGCAGTCCTCCTGCCTTAGCCTCCTGAGTAGCTGGAACTACATGTGTGCGCCACCATGCCAGCTAATTTTATTTTTTTAGTTTTGTGGAGATCGGGGGGTGGGGGACGGGGGGGGGGGGGCCCCTCACTATGTTGCCCAGGCTGGTCTTGAACTCCTGGCCTCAAGCGATTCTCTTGCTTTGGCCTTTCAAAGCACTGGGATTACAGGTGTGAGCCATCACACTCAGCTGAAAAGTGTAATTCTAACGTCCATGCTTCTGACCCTTCAGAAGTACAGAACAAGAGGGAAAAGGAAAATAAACACCAATTAGGAGCTTTAGATATCTTCTTTCCTTTTCTTTTTCAGTAAGGAACTAGAGCTTCCCAGCTAAAGACGTGTCAAAAGTCAGTCAATTAATAGGACTTATTTAAGGATCAGTATTAATGATGAGGGTATTTGGGCTGTAGACACACACTTTTAAAATAACTTATATTAACCTCATTTTCTTATCTCTTTTACCATAGCAAATTTTTTTATGGAAATGTTTTCAGAGAAGTCATTTACTGGTCCTTAATTACTAGCGTTTAACTAGTAAAACTCACTTTTTTTTTTAGAGTGTATTAGTTTTCTATTATAATATACATTCTAACCAAATATGGCTTTCTGCAAAGGTCCTCATTGTCAGTCTCCTCAAAGCAAAGTTTATGTGGACTATTAGACATTCTTTCTGCTTTGGCTGCACCAAATTAGATTAATTATTTATACCTGAGGCCCACTGCTTCAGAACATGGACACCCCCACTTAACCTTTCTCTAGTGAATTATTAAGAGTCTTACTTTTAAAATAAAATCCTCATTTCATAGTCTGTTTGATTGAGGTTAAACACAATAGTCTAGTGATTCCTGTATTAAACAGTCCAATGTCATAAGACTCTCTCCTGGGTTTTATGCCAATGAGCACATTTGAAACAAATGAACCTTTCATTAAGAACACCCTCACAGGGGAGAAGGGTAAAGAGCTTCTCGCTTGAAAACTGTCTGGCACCAGTCTGGGCAGAATTATTAAAACAGCAGGCAAGTCAAAGACAGTGTGCAGATTCTACTGTTAATACATCAGAAATAATTAGAAATAAGAGATATAAAAGGAACTTTGGGGTCCTCCCTCTTTATTCTACAGACAAAGAAAGATTAACACCCCACACACAGTCTTTAGCTCAGAGTGACTTGCTTTGTTCCAATGGATACTTTCAAATATTTGTCAAAGACATTCTGAAAGTAATAAGAGATGGCATAGGTACCAAAATGTGCAGGGTTTTTGTTTGTTTGTTTTTGAGACAGTTTTGCTCTGTTGTCCAGACTGGAGTGCAGTGGCACCATCTTGGCTCACTGCAACCTCCGCCTCCCAGGTTCAAGGTATTCTCATGCCTCAGCCACTCAAGTAGCTGGAATTACAAGCATGCACCACCATGCCTGGCTAATATTTGTATTTTTAGTACAGATGGGGTTTTGCCATGTTTCCCAGGCTGGTCTTGTACTCCTGGCCTCAAGTGACCCACCCACCCAAAGTGCTGGGATTACAGGCGTGAGTGACCATGCCTGGCCAGGTTTCTTCACTGCAAACAACAAACTCTGCTCTGGCCGATTTATGTGAAAAATAAATTTATTAAAGAGTATTAGTAGTGCTCAGAACCTCCAAGTGGGCCAAAGAGCCAGGTGAGGCTGCTAATTGGCCAGAAATAATGTTGAAACACACCATGGGGAAAGGTACACTCAACAACGACTCCTGCAGTGCAAAAAACATGAGGCCAGGAGCGGTAGCTCAGGTCTCTAATCCCAGCACTTGGGGAGGCCAGGGTGGGCAGATCACCTGAGCCCTAATGTTTGAGACTGGCCTGAGCAACATGACAAAACCTCACCTCTACAAAAAGTATAAAAATTAGCTGGGCATGATGGCGCGTAGTGGTCCTAACTACTCAGGAGGCTGAAGCAGGAAAACTGCTTAAGCCTGGGAGGCAGAGGTTGCAGTGAACTGTGATCGTGCCACTGCACTCCAGCTTGGGAGACAGAGTGAGATTCTGTCTTAAGCAAAATACAGAGCTCACAACCATGAGACGTGGGTGAGGTGCTGGTTCTTCTACCTGCCCTGAAGAGTGGGGTACCTCTGCCACCATCCTCTGCAGAGGGTTTCCACAAACCCACAGCATTCACTCCCCATCCCATCTTGTACGAGACCACCTGACTGCAGGGACCTAACTGCAAAGAAGATTAGAAAAGGCATTTGTTGGGCTTCTATCTTAGGTAAGTGAAACTTAAAAAGAAATTCCCCAAACATTGGAAAACATGACAGATATCCATGTGTCCCAAGATTAATAGGCCTTCTCAAAACCTTTTTTTACAAAACCTTTGTAGGATTCCTGAGACAAAGAAGCAAAAAAAAAAAAAAAAAAAAAAAAAGGCAAAACATTTAGCAGTTTCTAATACTAAATAAATGGTAAAGATTATTTTGATTTCTATTGTTCCTTCTTCTTTCATTTTTAAAGCTTTAAGAACCTTTGATTCTCCCAAAAAGATGTAAAACCCCATTATGTTTGGGGAACCAGATTAAAACAGAAAATTCTTATAATGTCTAACATGTTTTTAGCCATTTGAAGAAGTAGTGAGCTGCTAAGACCTTCATTTCCTCTTCTCAAAAGCCTTCATTTCCAGATAGGCATCTGGAAATCAAACAAGGAAAATGATCTCCTTTCCCCAATTACCCACCCCACCCTGTCACCCCCAAATTTGGTTCCTAACACTTGCATGACTTCAGCATACTTTATCATACAAAAAATACATTCTTTCATTCTGCTCCTAGTGATCAGCCAATGACAAAGCTGATTTGGGGCTGAGCAAGAAGCAGAGAACCTTCTCCTTATCTGTACTGCATTGACAAAAACCCTTGACCTTCCCGAGTTTTCTAATTCCAGCATTATCTTGACTCTTTGGTGAGATTAAAAACAAGAATAGTGCCTGGCATGCAGTGCCTCAAGGCTAGAATCTGTCTGTTGCTTAGCTTTAAGGCCTGAATTCTCAAAGACACTGAATTATTTTGAGTAGGCTGTTTACCTTGATGTGAGCAGAATTAGCCTTAGACACTAAGCCTTTATGGCAACTTTTATTGTCCAAGGCAAATATAACCTGTTAAGATTTACAGGCTGTATTAACAGCGATAACCATTTTACAGCCAACATCAGTAAATCAGGGTTTATTGAGAACTCAACAATTTTAATCTGTGGAAAACCATTAAAATGTCGGATTTTCATTGGACATAATTTCTAACTTTTATGAAAGATAGATTTTCCATTAATTAGGGAGTATAAAAAAGTGCAGTGTGGGATAATGAATTGTTTTGAAAAGAGCAAATTGGTTTTAGCTAAACAACAAGGGTCAAACATTAAAGTTGCTATCTTTAGTTAGAACTGCCACCAAAGTTAAGGCTAAAAATAACTGCAGTGACAAATATGTTCTAATACATCCAGCTATTAGGATGGGCTCATGAAGTTTAGAAACATTTGTGTTGTCATTCATTCACATTTCAGGTATTTTGTAAAACAATGTGTGTGACCCATTTTGTAAAAAATTCATGCGACCTATTATAAGTTATCTAAGCCAGTGTCTAAGTAAGTGTAATGAGAACCTTCCAGTTCAGGTAACATTTTCATAAAGTGTTTTAATAACAATAATATTACTCATAAGATACTTCAATGGTGGTAAGTTGAACAAACATTGGTGGTCACCAGCCTTCATTAATAATTATTTAATTCCTCTATGTGACAGATTACAAGAGATGGGGCCACGAAGCTTTTTGATAAGTGGCTTTATCTTGACCTTGAAGGACAAGAAGAGAGGGCAATGTTTGGGAGAGGTAGAGCTCACGGGAGTAGGCTGGTCTTAGCAGCTCACTACTTCTTCAAAGGGCTAAAAACATGTTAGACATTACAAGAATTTTCTGTTTTAGTCTGGTTCCCCAAACATAATGAGGCTTTACATCTTTTTGGGAGAATCAAAGGTTCTTAAAGCTTTAAAAATGAAGGAAGAAGGAAGAACAGAAATCAAAATAATCTTTACCATTTATTTAGTATTAGAAACTACTAAATGTTTTGCACTTTTTTTTTTTTTTTTTTTTTTGCTTCTTTGTCTCATAGCAAACCTACAAAGAAAACATTTTTTCTCATTTCCAGAGGAGAAAACTGAGGGTCAGAGTGGCTAATTAATTGCATTACAAAGTTAGTAGCCAGAGTCTGTTGGCTTCAAAGTTCATACTTTTCCCATTGTGCAACCGTGACAATCTTTGGTTCTATTTCTATCATTTCCATACCCCACTGATGTATACTAGGTGAAATGACACTGTCATACAGACACAAGTATGCATTTGTCAGAGTAAATTTGGGGCCTGTTTTGACAATGTGATCTGTCAGGGCTCTGGCCAAATGTAGAGAAAATCATAATGAGGGTAGAGATTGCACTCGGTTCTCTCACTTCTCTTTTTGTATGTCCCTTTTTCTTCTACATGGCCTCTTCTATGTAACTCTAGGCATCCGATCTCCTAGGATAGCATCAAACCTGTGCTCCTTGCCCTTCGAAGGACAGAGTGATGTCCTGTCCCAGGCTCCTTGTCCCCCTCGGCCTCCAAAAATTCCACAGTCTCAGTGCTCTGTTCTTAGTTTTATTATCAGATTACATATTTCAAATAAAGAGGAACAGAATATATAGCAAATTTGAGATTAGGATATTCACTAGAAGATAATTTAATCCAAACACCTTTAATTCTAAGGGTGGGATGATGGCAGCACAGTGGGCAGAGAGACTATCATTGGCCTGGTGGCTCCCAACCTTCAAGAAGGCTTGGTCCAATGAAAAACAAACAAAACCAAAAACGATTAGAGAAAGGACAGATCGAGCTTTAAAGTTGGCTCTTGGTGCTTCCTAGTGACCTGAGAGCTTAGAAAAGTTGCTGTAGGATAGACATGAAAGCTCATATAGCTTTTCAGCATCTCATAGCACTTTTTTTTTTTCAAATTAATTGAGATAACAGAAGATAAACCACCTACCATAGTACCTGGTAGGTACACGAGAACATTTCAAAAATGGTAGCTCTTTCTATTTTTATTATTCATAACACTTTTCTGGTCAGATAAATGAGTTAGTTGCCAAGAAAGTTCTGTCTTGCAGAGAGAAGTCTATTGTATATGTCTTGTGATAACAGAATTTGGACATGCCCCCCAAGGTGACTTTCAATGTGTCAAGTAGGAAACCACCTATTCCACTGAGAGACAAAGCCAGCTGATACACTGGGGGCCCCACCAGCTACATCCCTTTCCAGTGGTGACCCCATGAGCCCCACAGGAGGTGGGCAGAAAGGGAACCAAGTGGTGGCATGGAGAGGCTGGAACATGGCCTACACAAGGAAGATGACTTTGACTGTTAGCATTTCACAGTAATGATTACATGACTGACCAGTTTCTAAACACAGTTCCCAATTACTGCCATACTGGAGAGTCATTACCTATAGTATACTCATATCACTATGAAATTAATAGGCAGAATGATACATACTCGGTGACCTGACCACGTAACAGGCATTGGTAGACATCTCCACCCTAAAGGACACCACGACTGTGGAAGGGTATGAACATTTTCACGTTCCTTCTCCAACTTTAGAATTTCTTAGCTTTCTTCTCTCATTCTGCCTTGTTTTCAGCAAAAACATAGATGCTGATAGCAATGACTTACTGTGTAAGCTACTGCTGAAAGTAAAAGAGCTATAGATATTGGTGCACAGATAACGGTAGCATCCAAATCATGGAGAAAAGAAATTCCAAAATAATGCAAGTGTTTGAGACTAGGATACTGTCCCACATTAAGATGATGTTATACATACCTAACCCCACTAAAGAGTTGGGCAAAGGATATGAATATACATGTTTCAAAAGAAGACATACAAATGGCCAAGAAACATGAAAAAAAGTTTAACATCACTAATCATCAACAAATGTAAATTAAAGCCACTATGAAATACCACAGTGTTATACCAGTCATAATGGCTATTATTAAAAAGTTTAAAAAAAACTGGATGTTGACAAGATGCGGAGAAAAGGCAACTTTTATACAGTGTTGGTGGGAATGTATATTAGTACAACCTCTATGAAAAATAGTTTGGATATTTCTTGAAGAAATAAAAACAGAATTACCATTAGATCCTGCAATCTCACTACTGAGTATCTACCCGCCAAAAAAAAAATTAAATAGATACATGTACTCACATACTTATTGCACTACTATGTACAATAGCAAACATATGAAACAAATCTAAGTGTCCATCAATGAATTTAAAGAAAATGTATACATACACAATGAAATACCAGTCAGCTATAAAAATTGAAATCATGTCTTTTGAAACAACATGAATGGAACCAGAGACATTATGTTAATGGAATGACTCAGACAAAGACAAATACCATGTGTTCTCACATGTAAGTTGGAGCTAAACATGCACATAGAGTTTGAAATGACAGATAGTGGAGATGATGCAGGGTGAGGGGGACATAGAGTGTAGAATAATAGTGGAAACCAGGAAGAGGAGGGGATGGATGATGAGAAATTACTTGTCATTTGGGTGATGGATACACTGAAAGCCCTGTCTTCAGGGCTTACATGCAACCTATGCACGTAACAAAATTATACTTGCACCCCATACATTTATACAGATCAGATTTTTAAAAATAAATGTTTGCTAAGGCATCAATAGCCTATTTAACCCTTAATGTAGCTGAAATACTTTCCATATTCATCTATAATACAACATTTATAAAACAAGGCTTTTGCCCCTTCTCAGCCGAGAATTTCTGTTTTAAACTACCCTAAAGCCCCAGCTGCTCCTTGGAATTAGTTTCTGTTTAATTTCAGCTAGTCTGTGTCTGAAATTTATTCCAAAAAGCATATACATTTTTAAAATAAAAAAGTGATATGATGCCAGAGGTAGAATCGGAAGTGTACTGGGCTAAATAGCAGTCCCCAGACATTCATGTTGATTTGGAACCTGGGAACCTGATCTTATTTGGTAATTGGGTCTTTGCAGATGCTTTATGATGCAGAATATAAAGTATGAGGCCATGCAGGATTACAGTCAGCCATAGTCTAATGGCTGGTGTCCTTATAAGAAGAAATTCAAAGACACAGAGAGGAGAACACCATGTGAAGCTGCAATCGGTGGAGGAAGAGACTGAGTGACGTATCTATGTATTAATCCATTTTCATACTGCTAGGGTTAGGGTTAGGGTTAGGGGTTAGGGTTAGGGTTAATTTATAAAGGAAAGAAGTTTATTTGACTCATAGTTCCTCATGGCTGGGGAGGGAAGAAGGGGAAGCAAGGTACCTCTTCACAAGACAGCAGGAAGGAGAAGTGCCCATCAAAGAGGAAAAAAGCCCTTTACAAAAATGTGCCCATCAAAGAGGAAAAAAGCCCCTTATAAAACTATTAAATATCGTGAGAACTCACTCACTATCATGAGACCAGCATGGGGGAAACTGTCCACATGATTCAATGATCTCCACCTGGTCTCTGCCTTGACACATGGGGATTATGGGGGATTACAATTCAAGATGAAATTTGGATGACGACACAAAGCACAATCATATCAGTATACAAGCCAAGGGACACCAAAGATTGCCAATAACTAGCAGCATCTAGGAGAGAAGCATGGAACAGTTTCTCTTTCAGAGCCCCAGAAGGAATTAATGCTGTTGGATTTCAGACTTCTACCCCAGAACTGTTGGAAAATAAACTTCTGCTGTTTCAAGCCTCCTCAGTGGTGGTAATTTATTACAGCAGCCTGGGAAACTAATATAGGAAGTGAGTAACTACAATTTGGAAATGTGTCAGAAAAGGTAGATACCAGAAAAGAAAACGTGCTTTCTGATACATCTATATTTTGTTCCCTCGTTCCACAGCTCTCCCAAATATTTTTTTCACTGACATTGGACTGCGCTGCCACTGAAAGTTTTTCATATCTTGCTCTCCTCCTTGTGGTTACAGCTGAAAAGCACCCTCAGAAGCAAATGAAGAAAGGGGCTGAGCCAGTCTACAGAGCTCATTTGCCTTCAAGTGTAGGGTGCTGGGGCAAGAAACAGGTAGGGATGTGTAAAGAGCTGCTTCCAAGCATTCACCAGAGTTCAGCCTCTAAATAACTGAACAGATGGGCATGCTGCTCACCTCCTAGAAGCCAGCCTGTCCTCTCATAGGAATCCTCTACCAATCTCAGTCCTGAACAGCCACAGAGTTCCTATAATTCATAAGTCCCCTGCATTCTCTCAAAAGATGCTTCAGTGTGGGTGGCTGGGTATGCACACTCATGTGTGCATTTATGAAACAAAATGTATTTTTGCTTTTGGCTGCTATCTTACCAGACTGCACATCCTTTATTCTTCTCTCTTTTGTTCTTTCTTTTTTAAATTTATGTCTTCAACAAGCAGTGGGGGTGGTAAGTGGGAGCTAAACACTGAGAACACATGGACACAAAGAAAGGAATGATAGACATTGGGGTCTACTCGAGGGGAGAGGGTGGGAGGAGGAAGAGGATCAAGAAGCTACCTGTGGGGTACTATGTTTATCACCTGAGTGATGAAATAATCTGTACACCAAACTCTTGTGACATGCAATTTACCCATATAATAAACCTGCACATGTACTCTTGAACTTGAAATGAAATTTAAAGAAAGCCATAGACAACAGCACAGAGTGAACCTTAATGCAAACTCCAGACTCTCCTTAATAAGAATGTATCAATATTGGTTCGGTCATTGTACGGGATGTACCACATTCATGTAAGTTGTAATTACAAAAAAAGGAAACTGGGTCAGGTGCGGTGGCTCATGTCTGTAATCCTGGCACTTTGAGAGGATGAGCTGGGTGGATCATGAGGTCAGGAGTTAGAGATGAGCCTGGCCAATGTGGTGAAACCCCATCTCTACTAAAAATACAAAAATTAGCCAGGCATGGTGGTGGGTGCCTGTAATCCCAGCTACAGAGGAGGCTGAGCCAGGAGAATCATTTGAACCCAGGAGGCAGAGGTTGCAGTGAGCCGAGATCACACCGTTGCACTCCAGCCTGGGCGGCAGAGTGAGACTCTGTCTCAAAAAAAAAATAAAAAATAAATAAAAAAAAAGGAAACTGAGGGGGAAGGTACAGGAGAACTTTATGTAGTACTTCAACTTTTATATAAATTCAAAATAGTTTCACCTAATGTCTATTAATTTAAAAGCGTGGCAACACTGTCTCAGGAAAAGCTCCATTTTAGTTAATGTTTAACAATCAGCCAAATGTCTAAATATTGTATTGAGGTGCTCTTTACTATTAAAAGTTAATCAAACTTGAAGTGAAAATAAATTTTTATTTCTTTAGTTGTAGAACTAGTGATTGAGTTAATAAATTTATATTTGCATATATGGGTAGAGCCCACCACAGCTCAAGGAGGCCTGCCTGCCTCTGTAGGCTCCACCTCTGGGGGCAGGGCACAGACAAACAAAAGACAGCAATAACCTCTGCAGACTTAAATGTCCCTGTCTGACAGCTTTGAAGAGAGTAGTGGTTCTCCCAGCACACAGCTTGAGATCTGAGAACAGGTAGACTGCCTCCTCAAGTGGGTCCCTGACCGCCAAGTAGCCTAACTGAGAGGCAACCCCCAGTAGGGGTGGACTGACACCTCATACGGCCAGGTACTCCTCTGAGACAAAACTTCCAGAGGAACGATCAGGCAGCAGCATTTGCGGTTCACCAACATCTGCTGTTCTGCAGCCACCGCTGCTGATACCCAGGCAAACAGAGTCTGGAGTGGACCTCCAGTAAACCCCAACAGACCTGCAGCTGAGAGTCCTGACTGTTAGAAGGAAAACTAACAAACAGAAAGGACATCCACACCAAAAACCCATCTGTACATCACCATCATCAAAGAACAAAGGTAGATAAAACCACAAAGATGGGGAAAAAACAGAACAGAAAAACCGGAAACTCTAAAAAGCAGAGCTTCTCTCCTCCTCCAAAGGAACGCAGCTCCTCACCAGCAACGGAACAAAGCTGGACGGAGAATGACTTTAACGAGTTGAGAGAGGAAGGCCTCAGAAGATCAAACTACTCTGAGCTAAAGGAGGAAGTTTGAACCAATGGTGAAGAAGTTAAAAACTTTGAAAAAAAATTAGACAAATGGAAAACTAGAATAACCAATGCAGAGAAGTCCTTAAAGGACCTGATGGAGCTGAAAACCATGGCACGAGAACTACGTGACGAATGCACAAGCCTCAGTAACTGATGCGATCAACTGGAAGAAAAGGTATCAGTGATGGAAGACAAAATGAATGAAATGAATCATGAAGAGAAGTTTAGAGAAAAAAGAATAAAAAGAAACGAACAAAGCCTCCAAGAAATATGGGACTATGTGAAAAGACCAAATCTACGTCTAATTGGTATACCTGAAAGTGACGGGGAGAATGGAACCAAGCTGGAAAACACTCTGCAGGATATTATCCAGGAGAACATCCCCAATCTAGCAAGGCAGGCCAACATTCAAATTCAGGAAATACAGAGAATGCCACAAAGATACTCCTCGAGGAGAGCAACTCCAAGACACACAATTGTCAGATTCACCAAAGTTGAAATGAAGGAAAAAATGTTAAGGGCAGCCAGAGAGAAAGGTCGGGTTACCCTCAAAGGGAAGCCCATCAGACTAACAGCTGATCTCTCCGCAGAAACTCTACAAGCCAGAAGAGGGTGGGGGCCAATATTCCACATTCTTAAAGAAAAGAATTTTCAACCCAGAATTTCATATCCAGCCAAACTAAGCTTCATAAGTGAAGGAGAAATAAAATCCTTTACAGACAAGCAAATGCTGAGAGATTTTGTCACCACCAGACCTGCCCTAAAAGAGCTCCTGAATGAAGCACTAAACATGGAAAGGAACAACCGGTACCAGCCACTGCAAAAACATGCCAAATTGTAAAGACCCTCAAGGCTACGAAGAAACTGCATCAACTAACAAGCAAAATAACCAGCTAACATCATAATGACAGGATCAAATTCACACATAACAATACTAAGCTTAAATGTAAATGGGTTAAATGCTCCAATTAAAAGGCACAGACTGGCAATCTGGATAAAGAGTCAAGACCCATCAGTGTGCTGTATTCAGGAAACCCATCTCACATGCAGAGACACACATAGGCTCAAAATAAAGGGATGGAGGAAGATCTACCAAGCAAATGGAAAACAAAAAAAGGCAGGGGTTGCAATCCTAGTCTCTGATAAAACAGACTTTAAACCAACAAAGATCAAAAGAGACAAAGAAGGCCATTACATAATAGTAAAGGGATCAATTCAACAAGAAGAACTAACTATCCTAAATATATATGCACCCAATACAGGAGCACCCAGATTCATAAAGCAAGTCCTTAGTGGCCTAGAAACAGACTTAGACTCCCACACAATAATAATGGGAGACTTTAACACCCCACTGTCAACATTAGACAGATCAACGAGACAGAAAGTCAACAAGGATACCCAGGAATTGAACTCAGCTCTGCACCAAGTGGACCTAATAGACATCTACAGAACTCTCCACCCCAAATCAACAGAATATACATTCTTTTCAGCACCACACCACACCTATTCCAAAATTGACCACATAGTTGGAAGTAAAGCACTCCTCAGCAAATGTAAAAGAACAGAAATTATAGCAAACTGTCTCTCAGATAACAGTGCAATCAAACTAGAACTCAGGATTAAGAAACTCACTCAAAACTGCTCAACTACATGGAAACTGAACAACCTGCTCCTGAATGACTACTGGGTACATAATGAAATGAAGACAGAAATAAAGATGTTCTTTGAAACCGAGAACAAAGACATAACATACCAGAATCTTGGGGACACATTCAAAGCAGTGTGTAGAGGGAAATTTATAGCACTAAATGCCCACAAGAGAAAGCAGGAAAGATCTAAAATTGACACGCTAACATCACAATTAAAAGAACTAGAGAAGCAAGAGCAAACACATTCAAAAGCTAACAGAAGGCAAGAAATAACTAAGATCAGAGCAGAACTGAAGGAAATAGAGACACAAAAAACCCTTCAAAAAAATCAATGAATCCAGCAGCTGGTTTTCTGAAAAAACCAAACACCCCATATTCTCACTCATAGATGGGAACTGAACAATGAGCACAAATGGACACAGGAAGGGGAACGTCCCACTCTGGGGACTGTTGTGGGGTGGGGGGAGGGGGGAAGGGATAGCACTGGGAGATATACCTAATGCTAGATGATGAGTTAGTGGGTGCAGCGCACCAGCATGTCACATGTATACATATGTAACTAACCTGCACATTGTGCACATGTACCCTAAAACTTAAAGTACAATTACAAAAAAATAGATAGACTGCTAGCAAGACTAATAAAGAAGAAAAAAGAGAAGAATCAAATAGACGCAATAAAAAATGACAAAGGGGATATCACCACCAATCCCACAGAAATACAAACTGCCATCAGAGAATACTATAAACACCTCTATGCAAATAAACTAGAAAATCTAGAAGAAATGGATAAATTCCTCGACACATACGCTCTCCCAAGGCTAAACCAGGAAGAAGTTGAATCTCTGAATAGACCAATAACAGGCTCTGAAATTGAGGCAATAATTAATAGCTTACCAACCAAAAAAAGTCCAGGACCAGATGGATTTATGGCCGAATTCTACCAGAGGTACAAGGAGGAGCTGGTCCCATTCCTTCTGAAACTATTCCAATCAATAGAAAAAAGAGGGAATCCTCACTAACTCATTTTATGAGGCCAGCATCATCCTGATACCAAAGCCTGGCAGAGACACAACAAAAAAAGAGAATTTTAGACCAATATCCTTGATGAACACTGATGCAAAAATTCTCAATAAAATACGGGCAAACCAAACTCAGCAACACATCAAAAAGCTCATCCACCATGATCAAGTGGGCTTAATCCCTGGGATGCCAGACTGGTTCAACATACGAAAATCAATAAACATAATCCAGCATATAAACAGAACCAAAGACAAAAACCACATGATGATCTCAATAGATGCAGAAAAAGCCTTTGACAAAATTCAATAACCCTTCATGCTAAAAACTCTCAATAAATTAGGTATTGATGGGACGTATCTCAAAATAATAAGAGCTATCTATGAGGAACCCACAGCCAATATCACACTGAATGGACAAAAACTGGAAGCATTCCCTTTGAAATCTGGCACAAGACAGGGATGCCCTCTCACCACTCCTATTCAACATAGTGTTGGAAGTTCTGGCCAGGGCAATCAGGCAGGAGAAGGAAATAAAGGGCATTCAATTAGGAAAAGAGGAAGTCAAATTGTCCCTGTTTGCAGATGACATGACTGTATATTTAGAAAATCCCATCGTCTCAGCCCAAAATCTCCTTAAGCTGATAAGCAACTTCAGCAAAGTCTCAGGATACAAAATCAATGCGCAAAAATCACAAGCATTCTTATACACCAATAACAGACAAACAGAGAGCCAAATCATGAGTGAACTCCCATTCACAACTGCTTCAAAGAGAATAAAATACCTAGGAATCCAACTTACAAGGGATGTGAAGGACCTCTTCATGGAGAACTACAAACCACTGCTCAATGAAATCAAAGAGGATACAAACAAATGGAAGAACATTCCATGCTCATGGGTAGAAGAATCAATATCATGAAAATGGCCATACTGCCCAAGGTAATTTATAGATTCACTGCCTTTCTTCACAGAATTGGAATGACTTTCTTCACAGAATTGGAAAAAACTACTTTAAAGTTCATATGGAACCAAAAAAGAGCCCACATTGCCAAGTCAATCCTAAGCCAAAAGAACAAAGTTGGAGGCATCATGCTACCTGACTTTAAACTATACTACAAGGCTACAGTAACCAAAACAGCATGGTACTGGTACCAAAACCGAGATATAGAACAATGGAACAGAACGGAGCCCTCAGACATAATGCCGCATATCTACAACTATCTGATCTTTGACAAACCTGACAAAAACAAGCAATAGGGATAGGATTCCCTATTTAATAAATGGTGCTGGGAAAACTGGCTAGCCATATGTAGAAAGCTGAAACTCGATCCCTTCCTTACACCTTATACAAAAATTAATTCAAGATGGATTAAAGACTTAAATGTTAGACCTAAAACCATAAAAACCCTAGAAGAAAACCTAGGCAATACCATTCAGGACATAGGCATGGGCAAGGTCTTCATGTCTAAAACACCAAAAGCAATGGCAACAAAAGACAAAATTGACAAATGGGATCTAATTAAACTAAAGAGCTTCTGCACAGCAAAAGAAACCACCATCAGAGTGAACAGGCAACCTACAGAATGGGAGACAATTTTTGCAACCTACTCATCTGACAAAGGGCTAATATCCAGAATCTACAATGAACTCAAAGAAATTTACAAGAAAAAAACAAACAACCCCATCAAAAAGTGGGCGAAGGATATGAACAGACACTTCTCAAAAGAAGACATTTATGCAGCCAAAAGACACACGAAAAAATGCTCATCATCACTGGCCATCAGAGAAATGCAAATCAAAACCACAATTAGAATCTCACGCCAGTTAGAATGGCAATCATTAAAAAGTCAGGAAACAACAGGTGCTGGAGAGGATGTGGAGAAATAGGAACAGTTTTACACTGTTGGTGAGACTGTAAACTAATTCAACCACTGTGGAAGTCAGTGCAGCAATTCCTCAGGGATCTAGAACTAGAAATACCATTTCAACCAGCCATCCCATTACTGGGTATATACCCAAAGGATTATAAATCATTCTGCTATAAAGACACATGTGCACGTATGTTTATTGTGGCACTATTCACAATAGCAAAGACTTGGAACCAACCCAAATGTCCAACAATGATAAACTAGATTAAGAAAATGTGGCTCATATACACCATGGAATACTATGCAGCCATAAAAAATGATGAGTTCATGTCCTTTGTAGGGACATGGATGAAGCTGGAAACCATCATTCTCAGCAAACTATCCCAAGGACAAAAAACCAAACACCTCATGTTCTCACTCATAGGTGGGAATTGAACAATGAGAACACATGGACACAGGAAGGGGAACATCACACACCAGGGACTGTTGTGGGGTTGGGGGAGGAGGGAGGGATAGTATTAGGAGATATACCTAATGCTAAATGACGAGTTAATGGGTGCAGCACACCAACATGGCGCATGTATACTTATGTAACTAACCTGCACGTTGTGCACATGTACCCTAAAACTTAAAGTATAATAATAATAAAAAAAGAAAATATATTTTTATTTCTTTAGTTGTAGGACTAGTGATTGAGTTAATAAATTTATATTTGCATATATGGAAAAAAAGCAGGTAGGAATGTTTTCTTCACCTGTTAGTACCCAATCATGAGAGAAAGACAAAACAAAACAAAGCCAAAATGTTGTCTAATGCATTTTACATTTTGTGTAGGGCTAACCCTGGGATAACCTTAAATATTCATCAATATAATTAGCAGACTAATTTCCCTTCATATTCAATAAGTATTTATTGAACACCTGGATGTGAGAAGCATGTTTTTTAAATTTATTTTTTAAGCTAACAAATTGTATATATTTTTCATGTATAACATGTTTTGAAATATGTGTGTACTGTCGAATGGCTAAATAAGGCTAAATAATGTATGTATTACATCACAAACTTATTGTTCTTTTTGGGATGCAAACACTTAAAATCTACTCTTAGCATTTTTAAAGAATACAATACATTGTTATTAACTATAGTCACCATATTGTACCACAGACCAATAAACATAGTCCTCTCTAACCAAAATATTGTACCCTTTGACCAATGTCTCCTCAACCTCTCCCCATCTCCGCAACATGTGGTGACCACCATTCTACTCTAGTTCTGTGACTTCAGCTTTTTTTTTTTTTTTTTTTTTTTTTTTGAGACAGAGTCTTGCTCACTCACCTAGGCTGGAGTGCAGTGGCATGATCCTGGCTCACTGCAACCTCTACCTCCCGGGTTCAAACAATTCTCCTGCCTCAGCCTCCCAAGTAGCTGGGACTACAGATGTGCGCCACCACACCCGGCTAATTTTTGTGTTTTTAGTAGAAATGGGGTTTCATCATGTTAGGCAGGCTGGTCTCAAACTCCTGACCTCAGGCGATCCACCCGCCTTGGCCTCCCAAAGTGCTGGGATTACAGGCATGAGCCATTGCACCCGGCCAACTTCAGCTTTTTTAGGTTCTGCATAGAGGTGAGATCCCGTGGTATTTTTCTTACTGTATCTGGCTTATTGCACTTGACATACTGCCTGCTTGGTTCACCCATGTTGTCACAAATGACAACATTTCCTTCTTAAAGGCTGAATAGTATTCCATTGTGTGTGCATAACACATTTTTAAAATTCATTTGTCCATTGATGGACAGTTAGGTTGATGCCCTATCTTACCCATGGAGCTATTGTGAACAGTGCTGCAATGAACATGGGGGTGCAGGTATCTCTTCTACATATTGATTTCATTTGCTTTGTATATATACCTAGTAGTGGAATTGCTGGATCAAGTGGTAGCTCTACTTTTAACATTCTGAGGAACGTCCATACTGTTTTCCATAATGGCTATACCAATTTCCATTCCCACCAACAGTGTGCAGTGGTTTCCTTTTCTCCACATCCTTGCCAACACTTGTGAAAAATCTTTCACCTTTCTGAAAATAGCCTTGAGCAGCACTGCTTCATGTTCTGAGGATACAGCAATGAAGAAGAGTAAGCACAAATTTCCCTCACTGAATTTAAGTTTCAGTGGGGTAGAGAGAAATAAGCAAAGTAAATACAGTATGCTTGTGATAACAGGTAAAAAGAAAGTATATACCTAGTAGGATAAATTGCTGGGATAAAGCAGGGAAAAGGTGGAGTGGGGGAAGCAAATATTTGCAACATTTGCAGAGTGTACAGAGCAGGCCTTACTGAGCAAGTGATATCTGAGTAAGCCTTTAAGAAAGATGGGACAAAGCAGTGTGAGAACTGGGGAAGAGCCCTCCAGCAGAGAGGCCAGCACATTCAAAGGCCCTGGGGTAGGAGCATGGCTGGTGCATCTGAGAGAGATTGAAGGGGCCAGGGTGACTGTAGCGCAGTCAAGTGCACAGTCAAATAAAATATATAAGGTCACACCAGGCCAGATTATGTTGAATCTTGTAAAGCACTATAAGAACATAGACATTTACCTGGAGTGCTTTGGAGTAGCTTTGCAGGATTTTGAACAGAGCCCTTAAATGGCTGCAAGACCTTTGGTTGGTCACTAATACAAGCATCAGTTTTCCTGCTTCTAAAATGCAAAGGTTATGCCAGTAAATATCTAAGTTATCTTCCATCTGAAAAAAAAGTAGATCAATAGAGACCTAGAGTATGCGAAGTTCCTACAGGCTGATGGCTAATCAAAACATTAGCACCCCTCTCTGCTGCTGCCAAAGTCAATGGTAGTGACCCGGCACAGAACCAGAAGGAAACATGGGTGTACCAGGGGACACTCACACAGCTGGCACTACAGAGCCTAGACATTTTTATGCATAAAACATTTGTAAACTGGGATTTTTGAAAGATGGGCACTGAATGTAGAGAACTGCTGATACCTCTGTTAGGCTCCTAGGAACACATGCGATGTCCTAAATGAGAGGGATACAGTCCCTTGCCTGACACTTAACACCCTGTTCAGGAAAGGAGGGCATGCTGTTTGTAGGAAACAATAGGGCAGCAAAAGGAGATCAATATCTTTTTTGTTTGACATTCAATAAAAAATTTTTAAATAAGCATTTTCCTTTCTAATCATTTTACATCATGCATGGAGTGTTCACTTTAATTTTCAAGTCCGTTTACTTCATTTCTGTGAGCCATTTGAGCTTTGAATAGTGTCCACCCAGCATGCTTTCTAAATATGCAAGTATGTGTGTTTTTTCATTCCCCTTTATTTTATCTCCTTTTTTGTCCTGCCAATTACAAAATCCCAATTTTACTAAAATATGAAGCAAAGCCTCCTGGTTTTTTCTTTTTCTTTGTATATCTGCTTCTCCATGAATAAACAATAGCTCTAAACACTGTTTCCTAGCTTCCCATAGAAGAGTCAAACCTGGACCATGTGCTGCTGAACTCAGGCCTGTGAAAGGAAAATAAACCTTGGGGCCCCCAAATCACTAAGCTAAAGGGAAAAGTCAAGCTGGGAACCGCTTAGGGCCAACCTGCCTCCCATTCAATTCAAAGTCACCCCTCTGCTCACTGAGATAAATGCATATCTGATCGCATCCTTTGGAGAGGCTAATCAGAAACTCAAAAGAATATAACCATTTGTCCCTTATCTACCTGTGACCTGGAAGCCCCCTCCCTGCTTCCAGGGGAGTTATCCCACCTTTGCTTCCAGTTGTCCAGCTTTTCCTGGACCTGAACCAATGTTTGTCTTACATATGTTGATTGATGTCTCATGTCTCCCTAAAATGTATAAAACCAAACTGTGCTCTGACCACATTGGGCACATGTCGTCAGGACCTCCCGAGGCTGTGTCATGGGCACGCATCCTCAACCTTGGCAAAATAAACTTTATAAATTAACTGAGACCTCTCTCAAATTTTCGGGCTTCACGGGCCTAAATTTATAAACTTTTCATTATATTAAGCATGCCTTATACTTCTTAGTATTTTTCCTCCAATAATAGCTATATTACTAGTCTATCAGGGGTCATCTTTTCATTGTGAATAAAAGATTTAGAAAGACTTTCCTATGACCAGAGTGCATTACCAGGGACAATTATATTCGAATAGTAAGGTAGAAGTTCTAGAAAACATTCAAGAAGCAAAAAACATTGTGACTCTGGATTCTAGACACCTCGCTGTGAAGGAAGGATAACAGATCAGAGGCCTGTGGCTTCATCATTTTTTATATCCCTAATGCCTGCACAGTGCAGAAAACATAACAAACACTCAATAAATGAATGCTTGTTCCACAAAAAAGTGAAGGATGAACAAACACCAGTGACACTGGGACTGGGTCTTCTGACCTTTCCTATGGGCTTTTTCATGTGTGTTTGCCTGTTACAGCTCAGATTTGTTCCATAAGCCAATATGCATATCAGAAGATCTTGACTGAGGACAGAAAGAATGACACCTGCATGATTCAAGGTCCCCAGAACCAAGAAGACAGGTCAAATCCTACCCAGGCTGCCTACCAAGGGCCTTGTGCAAACACAGAAGTAGATGGGAGACAAGTTCCTTTCTAGCTTATTTCCTAGACAATTTCTTCACCGTGTTTAGCAACTGAGCCCAGGCAACAAGAATCCCAGACATGGGCTCCTTTACTTCCCTTCCAGCCACACAGGACTCCGCCCTCCCTCTTGGGAACAGGCCTGGTTCCTCCCGGTGACTGGTCCCAGGATCCTGTCTTACCTCGGCAGCAGGGACTCCCTCTGGTGGGCGGCAGTGCAGTACAATCATGCCTTCAATGGGAACTTCCCTTCCTTGTGGGTCTTGTTCAAAGTTTTTCCGTAAATCTGCAAAGAAGCATGAGATAGGTGACACTTTGTTTCAAGTCTAGTGTTATTCAAATTTGGTCCAAGTACAAAAAAAGTGAGCTTAATATCACAACCTAGACACACACACACAAAAATAAGTCACTTGTTCCAGGAATTCTAGAATAAGAGAATCGTTTTTCCAAATATTCATAAATGCATGTGAAATAACCTGGACAAAACAGTTTCTGATGTCCTATATTGATGTGAAGGATGAAATAAATAACTAGGAGAGTAGGAAAAAAAAACACAGAACACCCCATTGTTTCATGAGTCTTTGCCAGCATTATCTGCTGAGCATCTGATGAAACACTTGGACTAATAAATTGCCATCCACAGCTATTATGCAGTTGAGATGCACATGATTTTTTTCTATTAACTGAAGAGTGCATTATTAATCTGTAACCTCTGCCATTCCCTTAACCCTCTAGGGGGCTCTAGAAGATGCTAATAGAGTGAGATTACCTATTAGTCTTTTTATTTGTAACCAGGGAGAAGGGGCAACATTCAACCACAACAAAATCTATAACCTATCCAACCAAACATATAATTACAAAACACAACGCCCTCCAGTCAAACAGCAATGCTGGGTATTTGGGTAGTGCCCTTCATGGAAGGCTCCAGGCACTTTGCAAACAAGCTGTACTATTAACCTTTTACACATGGAAGGATGACACTTGCAGAGGTTAATTCGCTTGCCAGTGGTCACAGAGAGCATCGATGCCAGTGATGGGGAACAATGCACTAAGCTTCCTGACACCCAGGCTGAGTGTTAACCAGCAAAGCCTTCTCAGGGAAAAGGACATAGATGGACAGTGCAGAAGAGTTTCATTTGCATTGCTTTCCACTTGAGCACACGCTTCATTAAAAAAAGGTGGGGAGTTGGCCTTTACTTCTCTCGAGGTGTCATGACAACTCTTTGATAATCTTGCAGAACGAGGGTAATTCTTGCTGCCACTTGAAAGCACAGGATAGTAGGGCAAAGACAGGTTGTTTACAAGTCTTCCTCAATGTAAAAGATTTTGCCCTCCCTCCCTGACAATGCATTTTTCTTCAAATTGAGTATCTCAAATTACAGGCTGTGAATTTATTGATTTAATTTTCTTCAGTGCTTACAATAACATGAAATATGTTCTCTGTAAAGAGGAGAGCTCCAGAATCAGTTACATCTTTATAAATTGTATAAATACATTAAACTTGCCTTTAGCAAGTCAAAAACACTCAATGAATAACAAGCACGGCAAGCCATGTATTCACTTTCCTCCGAATTTTACTCTTAATGCTTTCCCTCCCAGAGGCAACCAATGTCTTTTGTTAGTAGCAGTGCTACATATTCGGAGGTCTTCATGAGTATATATAAGGCAAAGATCTTAAAACAACTTGAACTGCAGGTGGGTGACAAGATCCATTCTCTCATTTCTCTGCTGTCCCCTGAGTTTTAAAGCCAGCTTCCCTCTATCCGGGAACCGTAAATTGCCACAGCCCGTTTGATTCAGGACTTCTGACTCCAAGTATGATGAAGGTCACATACCTGATAACAAAACTGTGAAGGTTCTGTGAATAAACCCAGAATGAAAAATCTCACGCTTCCCACACAATTCTCCTCTGCTGTCTCACAAGGGATCTTTGGGTCAAAAATCCTTCCTCCATATGACTTGGTTATTTATCAGAACTATATCAAAATTAGTCTATCATAGAGCAAGAGTGACTTTAACATATAAGATGTCAGTTTGCTGATGAAGGAGCTGTTTTTTTTGTTTGTTTGTTTTGTTTTGGAGATAAGGCCTTGCTCCCGCCCAGGCTGGAATGCAATGGTGTGAACATAGCTCACCGTAACCTTGACCTTTCCAGGCTCAAGCTATCCTCCCACCTCAGCTTCCCAAGTAGCTAGGGCTACAGGTGTGTGACATCACACATGGCTACTTTTTAAAAAATTTTCTGTAGAAATGGGCAGATTGTCACTTCTTGCTTTGTTGCCCAGTCTGGTCTCCAACTCCTCCTCCGATCCTCCTGCCTTGGCCTCCCGAAATGCTTGGATTACAGGCATGAGCCACTGTGTCCGGCTTTTGTTTGGTTTGTTTGTTATTTTTGTTTTCCTTTTCCTTCATTGCTTTGTTTTCTGAAGGAAGTTTTGTTCAGTGCTGCTAAATGGTCATCCCAATTTTGACACCAATTAATCTGTATTCAGCCAGATAAAGTATAGAAAACATATAGTGCAAATTTCTATTTACATTCTACTTTTGTGTCCTTTCTTTGATCAATAGAAATAGAAAATGTAAAAAAATACTTAGTTTATGGCTATCTACACACCACTACATTAACTAAGTTATCAGGTGAAAAGACAACTGGAGAAATGTCATTTTTTTTCTCCCCATTCCAGCCTCTCAGCAAAATAGGTAAGTAAATACATACATATCTATTTATACACGTTTGTATAATTTACATATTTGTGTGTGTGTGTGTGTGTGTGTGTGTGTGTGTGTGTGTGTATAAAAACTACTGACAGTGGGACCTAGGAAACGGTATTACTCATAAACTAGAAACTTCAAGGAACTTCTAATAGATCTCACATAGGCAAGATTGGGTAGAAGAAAAGGCCAATCCAACCTGCTGCTCTTTCCAAATGACATTTGAAATGACTGGAAGAGTCCTAGCAAGACACACATTTCCCTCCCAAAGGTGTACATAAAAAGAACAAAGATTAAAGGCAATGACTGGGGGACAGGGAACAACTAGGGCACTATATATATCTGGATCCAACAGTGGTAACAGGCCGCCGACCTGTTAGGGAGCTGTAATGATCAGACATCATTATACCAAGTGAGAAACACAAGTATCATGGAGTCCTAGTTCTGGCTTGTACCTGATACTGGTGCCAGGACACTGACTACTAAGGAGGGCAAACTTTTGAATCCTAAGGAGGGTAAACTTACCAACAAATTCAAGTTAGCTACTAAATATAGTAGACATGATGGAAATAAACTCTTTAGACACAGAGGTATAGCTATGATTCTCACCATAGGGCACCCAGTCTAATTTGTTTCTGAATAGGCAATCTGAACACTTTAATCACCTATATGAGCTCCAAGCCTTGAAAGAAACGGACAGGAACTGATCCAATTTCTAATAGTAGGGAAAACATCCTTAGCCATATAACAAGAATTATACTACAAGAGAAGGAAACAAACCATAGAACCGAAAATAGATTTCTTCCTCTAAAAAGACATGAAGCAAGAGGCATATTTTTAGATAATTTCTAATTTTAGTTCTTTAAAGTCAAAAGGAAATAGCAACTGAGAATCTAGAGTAGAGAGTTATAAATAGGATAACATCTGAGATCAAGAAACCGCCACTATGAGGAAAGAAACTAACTGCTGATTTAGAAATATATAAATAAATATGGAGACAGTAAATAGCATATTGAATATTGCAGAAAACTGAACCACAAGACAGGCAGCATCAGTCAGGATGCATCAGAAAAACAGCAAGTACACCAATTGGTTTAACAGAAAATATTAATATAATGAAATTGGAAGATTAAGTAGGCAAAGGGGAAACCGCAGGAACATTGCAGGGAGCCTGGGCTTGGCAAAGGAGCTCCATACCCTTCTGCTCAATTTATAGATAGACCAGTTGGTATAGACATCGAAGATTGCTGTGTTGGTAACAGAGTAAGAAATGTCCTCTACTAGTGTGCTTATGGTGACTTGTTCTACATCTGTTTTCCTTGTTCTATCATCGGTTCTATGAAAGCAGGTTCTATGTCCTAGACTTTCACTCCTCTATTCCCAGTGCCTATTGTAATATCTGATACAGGGCAGGTTCTTAATAAATACCTGGTGAGTAAATGAGGTAAGGGGAAAGTGATAAAGTGACAATGAGATTGTCAGAGGGAGGATGAAATGAATGACAAAGTGGAGAAAGAGGAATACATTACATATAATAGGAATTTTAAAAGGACACAACAAGCTGAAGAAAAGAAACAAAAATCAATTTAATAATAATAATAATAGTTCTCTAAGCTAAAAAAGGACTTGAGTTTGCAAAATGACTCATTGGATATGAGGCAAACTAGCTTTAAAAAGAAACAACCCTAGATAGATCTTAGTTGAAACTGTTAATTTTAACAATATTAATAAAATGCAAAAGTAAATTTACAAGTATTTTTGCAGAAAACAAGCAAAAAGAATAATGGAACAAGAATATGGAATTTATTTCCTATATTTTTTATGTATCAGAGTATACTTAATCAAATTCTTTTTTATTTTTTGCTTTTTTTTTGTAAAAAGCATAGGAGCTAATTTTTTATTTGCAAACAAGTTAGTATTCATGAGTAACCTAACAACAATGTAGTGTCAGACATGATAGGACCATGAGATTGTAAGCAGCCACATACTCTTCCTGAAAACATTACCTTGTAAAATAAACTAACCAATGAAAAACAACTCAATGCAATAATTTCAGTATTTGGAAGTTGTCGGTTTTAAAAACCTGGCAATGGGCAATAAAAACACTTAAAAGTTTTAAACTTAAATACTTTTTATAATATAAGTAAAAATATTCACATAACTATCTAAGGGATCAGGGAAGAAAGATGCATAATATATCATAAATATGCATAACCAATGGTATGAACTTAAAATTGCTGGATCATAGATCTCAGGACCCCACCAGGCAGGAGTGGTCACCGGTGAGGAAGGTGGGGACCGCAGCTTGTGTTTTTGTTTGAATTTTGGGACCACCACTTACTCGTACCTTGACTCAGTAAGTATCCTCAATGTTTCTGCTTCAGCTTCCTCATCAGTGACATGAGGATAATAATACACATACATTTTGTTAAGACTAAATCCTGGTATATGTAAAGTCCGTTTAAGAGCACTGGTTGCTTCATAGAGGTCATGTATATTACTAGATCCTAAAGCCTTGATGATTAAAATGGGGTAGCTTTGTCATAAATCAGGCAAATTAACTATAAACCAGTGCATTTTTCAGAGACACTTAAATAAAAAGAATAATGCAGGATATGATTAAAGTGACACATAAATTAAGTGGGAAAAGGTATTAAGATGACTAGTTGCCCTTTTGGAGAAAAAAAATAAAACTAGATTAATGTCTTTATACCAAAATAAATCCTATATTAATAAGAAATATTTTTACATAAAACTACAGCAGTAATAAAATAAAATATTCATTGGATCTTAGGAAAAGGAAGGCTTTTCCAGACTTGAAATTAAAGATCCCTTAAGGGATTGATTGGTAGGTAGTGTTTTGTCAAAATTAAATTTTTTTTTTATCTAAAACATTATAAGCAACATCAAGGGCAGAGGGTTAACAGCCTTAATATATAAAGAGCTCTTATGAAACAAAATAAAAACAATACCCTCAAATAAAATGGCGAAGGGACGTGAAACAAAATTTATACAAGAAGAGATACAAGTGGCTAATAAAAATATCTAAAAGGACCAAATCACTAATTATTCAAGAAATGTCAAATTTTGGAACCATCAATATATGTCCTTCCTCTTGCAAGAGGCTTAGTTTTGTTTAAGTAATAATGCCCAAGGTTAGCAAGCATATAAGAAACAGTAATATTAAACACTGCTACAAGTGAAAATGGGCATACATGAAGAGCGAGCTGTAATGTGTTACTTCAAAAGTTCATAGATGAACAGTATGGCATTCTGTTTAGCAATAAAAAGGAAAGAATATTGATGCACGTTACAACATAGATGAATCTTAAAAATGCTATGCTAGGTGAAAGAAGCCATTCACAAAAGTCCACTTATTGTATGATTCGTTTATATGAAATATACAGAAGAGGTAAATCCATAGAGACAGAAAATAGATGAGTGGTTACCTAGGGCTGCAGCTGAGCAAGGAGTATGGGGAAGGACAGCAAAGAGAAGTAGTTTTGGTGGGTTTTTTATGTTGTGATGGAAATATTCTATAATTGACCCTGATGATGGTTATACAACTCTGTGAGTATACTAAAAACTACCAAATTGTACACTTTAAATAGGTAAACTGCATGGTATGTGGATTATATCTCAGTACAGTTATTATTAAAAAGAATTCATTCATATGGTTCAGTAATTCTACTTCTAAAGTTTTCTAAAAAAAAAAAAAAAAGATGAGAGCTCCACAGAAAAATGGATGCATAGTGGTATTGCTCAAATAATCATTTATAATGATGAACACTTGCTAATAACTTAATAATATAGGGGTGGTTAATTTTTTGGTGCATTCATACAATGGAACATTATGCAACCATTAAAAATCATAAGCTCAAAATATTTAAGATTACAGGTAAATATTCAGATTAAGTGCTAAATAAAATAGAGTGGAGTACATGATCTCTACCATATGCATGTTAGTAATAAAAATCACTCTCTCCCAAATGTAGTAATTGTATTATTATTAAATACATCTAATTCCAAAGTAAGTACACCTGCATTAAACACCTGTTTTGGCAGGTAATCCTTTTTTTTTTTTGAGATGAAGTCTTGCTCTTGTCGCCCAGGCTGGAGTGCAATGGCCCAATCTCAGCTCACTGCAACCTCTGCCTCCCAGATTCAAGCAATTCTCCTGCCTCAACCTCCTGAGTAGCTGGGATTACAAGCGTGTGCCACCACGTCTGGCTAAATTTTTTGTATTTTTAGTAGAGACGGGGTTTTGCCTTATTGGCCATGCTGGTCTTGAACTCCTGACCTCATGTGAGCCACCTGCCTTGGCCTCCCAAAGTGCTGGGATTACAGTCATGAGCCACTGCACCCAGCTGGTAGGTAATCCTTAATTTGCCTTCATGAGTTGTGTAGAAGTGCAATAGCCTTCTTCACTCACTCCCGCTGTTGACTCCCACTGGACACTGTGCCAGGCAATGGGGTACCTGACTGAACATGACACAGACTGCCCTGGCCTTCCCAGAGCATATGCTCTAGCAGGGTGACTAGCTATTAAACAAACAATTAAGAGGTATACATTTGAGTGATGAGATGGAGAAGTGGGAACTACCCTGTAAATGTAGCAGTGGGGCCCACATAAATCTAGTGATTGCAAAAAAGTTTCTCAGAGAGTAATATCTAAACTGAGGCAGAGAATCTCACAGGCCTAAAAACACACACCAGGTGCCATTTATAGTCTCAATCAGACTTGTACTGGCTTAAAGCATAACCACCATATCTCTTTCCTTTTAAACATATATACATATGCTCTCTCACTTTTTTCTTGCAAGTCTCTGCAAAATGCTTGCCTAGCTACCTCTCTTTCCTAAGTTTTCATATCACATGAGGACACTCTTTTATTAGACTTGTCTTCTATTCATGTATATTGAGAGGGTGGAGCATAAATAGATTTCCACCCTCTGATCTCACTCATAATCATGTGCACATGGTCTATGGGAAGAAGAAAAGCAGTCATTGTCACATTGTTCTGTATAAGGGAACTGAACCAAATTGCATACATATGCATAAAGATAGATTTTTAAATGTGGTTTAAAAATACAAAACCTTACCATCTGAAAATAGCAACTGGTGTGGGATTAGTATATATATATATATATATATATATATATTATTATAGTTATAGGAAAAACCCTAAAAAGAAATTACTAAACATTTTGAAGATTTTCCACTGGATGAAATTTGGTATATTAATTATCTCCTTTATCTGTTTCTGCATTTTCCAAAATTTCTGTAATGAATATGGATTACTTTCATAGCCACCAAAAATCACGTCCAAAAAAAGATCCCTTTCTTCTGAGTTGTCAAGCATCTCTGTACTAGACCAAACTGTATCAGAAGCCAGAAGAGAAGTACATCTTGTTTCATTTTATTGTACCAAGTTTCACTCCTACGATGTCTATCAAAGAAGGAAGCAAGGAAGATCATATCCTTCAAACTTTTCAGAATTGCAAATTCTGAAATACCCTTCTCTAATTTTATTTTAGTCATGGGAATCTGCACATGAGGGCAAAACTTTTCACTGGTTCTGTTTATTGCCATATTTCTGGCAGCTGGAAGATAGTGACTTAATACATATTTGTTGAATGAATGAATGAGCAAATGTAATTTCCCACTTCAACTCATCTGAATGATGACTATGAACTAATATGCAACGAAGTCTCTGGCAGTTAAGATGACTAGGAAAAGCAAAACCATGAACAGATATGTGCAATAGACTCTGCAATGATGCTAAAATAACACTTTCATTCATTGTCATCTTTACACACACATTGTGTGTGTGTGTGTGTGTGTTTGAATGGTACAATCATCAGCACAGATCAATTTGGAGCAGCACTCTGTCTAGTTCTGTTCCTTCTTCACCACATCACCCTGTTCAGTTCCACAGCAGAATGCCAACAAGACCCACAATGCCTGGAATCAAAGACAGCAGAAGTGAAGAGGAGGGAGAGGTGACAAAGCCGGGTACTTGGCTAACCTGTAAATCATATAACCAGCAACAGGATCATCCAGAGTCAGCAGTACCTGCCAATAAGTAGTATATCTGGGGCTAGACCTTGGGAAGCAGCAGCCTCCCCTTCCTCACCCCATGCCCTATTTGGCCTTTTTTGTCATTTTCCTTTCATGCTACTATGTTAGAAAAGTCATTGTAGCACAAGAAAATCAATAAAAATTCAATTCCAAATAATAGTTCTTTGCAGCTCAGCAACACCAGGGAGTTATCGGCTCATTCAATGTTCTGGCAGTTAATGCAATGAAATAAAAATAATTTACTCATTCAAACCAAATCAGCCAGTGAAAAATCATAGTCATTTTTTTAATAGTCATAGTCAAAGCCATTTGTTAAGATTCCAGGAGGATGGAATGATGTCCCATTAGTTGTCCAGCTACATTGGTATTCAAATAGGCTTTGAATCTTTGCCACCCATATTTCTCTGAAGGAACAACAAACCCCATTTGTCAGACATAAAAGAAAATTGTAACTTACCCAAATACAGAGTATTTATTGTAATAAAAGGGCTGGTTCACATGCAGGATGGGTGCATGCCAGCAAACCGGAAGTCAAGGCCTGGTGCTTCCATGTGGTTCCACCTCAATCCTCCAGCCCTGAGTTGTTATGACCTAAGAAGTCAGTTACTGGCTTCAGTTCCCGAGGGAAGGCACATAAAAGGCTTTCTGTTAGGTGAATTTTTTCCTCATTGTGATAGTCTTTTGTATTTGGCACATTATCTGCGCTCCTCCCGCAAGCGTGGCTTAAACCCTCTACCTTGCTTAGATCTATGTATTATGCACATTTCTTTTCTTTTCTTGAGTCTCACTTTGTCACCTAGGCTGGAGTGCAGTGGTGCAATCTTGGCTCACTGTAACCGCTGTTTCCCGGGTTCAAGTGATTGTCTTGTCTCAGCCTCTGGAGTAGCTGGGATTACAGGCATGTGCCACCATGCCTGGATAATTTTTGTATTTTTAGTAGAAACGGGGGTTTCTCCATGTTGGCCAGGGTGGTCTCGAACTCCTGACCTCAGGTGATCCACCCGCCTCGGCCTCCCAAAGTGCGGGGATTACAGATGTGAGCCACCATGCCTGGCTGACTCTGCACATTTCTTGACTGGCAGACCCATATTATTGATATTAGGCTGTTCCCACCTTTCATTTCATGTCTTTGTGTTAGATCTTCCAGTTCTTATTTCAGCTGTGTCTCCCTGAGTGATAACTGGCATTAAAGGACAATGCCACGTGTAGATTCCTATACATCTGGAACATATACATATATATGTGAATATAATATATATATTCCCCTTATTATTATATATTATATTCATTTTATTGTACCAAGTTTCACTGCTACAATGTCCATCAAAGAAGGAAGCAACAAAGATCATATCCTTCAAAGTTTAGTGAATTACAAATTCTAAAATGTTCTTTTTTAATTGTATTTTAGTCATAGGAATCTGCACATAGCACAAAACTTTTCATTGGTTCTGTTTATTGCCATATTTCTAGAATGAATATATATGTACATATATACACACACACACACACACACACACACATATTATGGTTGCAATAATATATTATATATATGACATCTTCCTGAAATTCCTGAATATTGCAACCATAACTCCTGTTCAGTAAATCTTACAGCAATAACGAAGAAAGGCCACCTTTGGACGGACGCCACTGAATCACCCTACAACTCTCCATGCACTCTCTTCTCTTGATGCCAGGCACTGAGCATTCTCTGCTTACTGGGACAGCAGGGTGTTTGGCTGATGCAAAAGGTCCTGTCATGCTGACGCTCCTCAAGGCTGTTTCTAGGACCATAAAATAACTTTGGGCCTTTGTGAGATCCCTTGTGCTCTGTAATCCCTCTGCTGGTAAATTGCTGTTATCAATAAAGCATTTTATAACTAGCACTGTGTATCATTATCCTGTGTTCACAAGTAGTGTAGCTTGTCAGGTAACAGTGGGGTTGCCAAGGTGATAGATATAGTTGTGCCTGCAGTAGGGACATATTATGCTGAGTAGAGACAGTTGTAGTTTTCCAAAATGCTTTAAGAACTAATTTAAAGTATTCTCTATTGAGCTACTCCCAACACAATAAGATCTATCGTGTTCAGCCTCTTTTGTTTATAAAAACAAAAATCATTCATATTCCAAAAAGAAATTGAGAATTTATTGAAAATTAGGAAGATAAAAATCTTAACGATGAGTTTAGGACTGACTGGAAACCAAGACAGACCAGGCTTGAAGAATAAGAAACACAATACAACTGTGTCTTACAAAGGCTATAACATAGCCAAACGAGGAGATAAAGAGATCCAGTTAGGGTCACGCATGGTGTCTTTTGCTTGTAATTCCAGGATTTGGGGAGGCCAAAGTGGGAGGATCTCTTCAGGCCAGGAGTTTGATACCAGCTTGGGCCACACAGTGAGACCCTCATCTCTCAAAAACAAACAAACAAACAAACAAAACCAGGAAAACAACAACAACAACAACAAAATAGGCTTGGGGGCGCATGCCTGTAGTCCCAGCTACTTGGGAGGCTGAGACAGGAGAATCGTGTGGGCCCAGGAGTTGGAAGCCACAGTGAGCTATAATCATGCCACTTCACTCCAGTCTGAAAGATGGAGTGAGATTCTGTCTCTATAAAACAAAACAAACAAAACAAAACAAAACAAAACAAACAAACAAAAAACAGGCCCAGTATAATTCTTTCCTCTGAGTTATTTCATGATCCTCTTAGCACACACATGGCCATGTCACTCCTGCCCTTCCTAACCAATCCCCTCTCGCTATTGCCCTAATGGTCTTAACTTTTCCGTCGATTGTATTCACTCATGGGTGCTGGTGTCTCAGGGCCACTGCCACCTGCTTCTTTTTTTGTGCCTTCTACCTTCAATTGTCACTACCAACTGCTGATTCTCTTTCAGGATGAGGTTATACTCAGAAGAGCAAAAATCTACAAGACAATAATCACTTAAATTCTTCTCAAGTGTATCTATCATACTGAGTCAATTCATGTGTCTATGTTGCCTGGGGGTAGATTCTTGGCCCCAAGGATACAACAGTGGGCACATGTGGCACCAGAATGATCAACCCTGCCTACGAAGCCACTCAGCACCATTTCCTTTGACAAGAAAATAATGGGTAGGAACCCCCCATAAGGAAACCATGCCTGTAGAAAGAAGGATTGCTGTTTGCTTTGTCTCCAAGTTCCATAGAAGGCAATTTCTGCATATTGACTGCATTGATTTGGTTGTGTCAATACATAAAGGACAGCTGAAGTTTAACGTAAATAGGAGATATTAACAATCTTCAACAGGAAAAGCCATTAACTAAAAATATAGAAATTCTCTGCTGCCTTGTTTTCAAGGCATTAAACCAAGGGAAAATACACTGATAACTCACATTTTGTATCTTTACATCATGTTCCACCAAAAGCTATAGGGACAAAATATCTGCAAGTTCCACATTCTGTACATTTGAGAGTACTGTTGTTCTACTTGCTGTGCTAATGAGAAAATCGAGTCCTAGGTGAATGCAGAAATAGCCACCAAATCAAAGTGTTTTTGATGGAAAACAAAAACAAAAGATCAGAGCCTGGAAGCACTGACTGCACTTAGGCTGCTCAGTTCCCAAGCAGGATATGGAAAGACTATGCTGGTCATATATATACATATACACACACTCAGGCACACACACATGCACACACACACACACTTTAGAGATTGGGTCTCTCTCTGTCACCCAAGTTGGAGTGCAGTGGTGCGATCATAGCTAACTACAGCTTAAAACTCCTGAGCTCAAGCAATACTACTGCCTCGGCCTCCCAAGAAGCTAGAACTACAGGCACATGCCATCAAGCCTGGCTAATTTTTAAATGTTTTTGTAGAGATGGGGTCTCACTATGTTGCCCAGGCTGGTCTCTAACTCCTGACCTCAAGTAATCTTCCTGCCTTAGCCTCCCAAAGTGGTGAGATTATAGTCATGAGCCACTGCACCCAGCCTGTGCTGTTCATCCTGTTGTCAAGTATCCCTTTTCTGAGACAGCTTAATTTCTACAACTCCTACAAGCAGTAATAGAGCTTATCTGCAGCTCAGCATCCAGCTGAGCACTGGAATGCAAAATGAACCCCATGGTTGAAGGGACAAAGTTTTAAAAACCACCTGGATGTGGAGAATCATCTCTGACTTTCCTGAGTGACCTCTGAGTCTTCTACAGGAAATTAGAGGGATGTGAACTAGCAACAAGTTTAAGAAGAAATGACCTAAAAATAACCTTAAGCTTTCAATACTCACCACCTCATTGTAATTCACTACCACTCCTGGAGAGGGATGAAAGGAAAACAAAGGGCTAGAAAAGAGTCAAAAAGAAAAGCCAACCCAGCAGCAAGAAAAAACAATTTAATCACATTATTAGTTTTTTGGTTCTTCCCTCATCCCACATCTCCATGAGGCCAGGAAGGTCAATCGGGACAAGATGAGGCCAGTGTCATGAGCATGTAAACACTGGATATGCCACTAAATATCTAACACCTCCTACCTCCAGCATGGCCTCACAGAACAACTGAGTGGAAGGAAGAAGGCTGCATTTTGCTTTCCTTAAGCCAATCTTGCCAGAACCAGGAAGATCTAAGGAACCACTTTCGCTCAAAGTTTTTCACCTTTTGGGTAGCCAAATCTATATTTTTTAAAAAATAAAACGACCCAGCAGAATGCAGATGAAACTATGAAGAACTGACAAGAAAGATGCAACCACTGCATCAGGAAGATGCTTTCCAGGAAAAGTGAATGAACAATGGCGGTGAAATAGGAGCTATCATGGGGATCTGAGAAAGAAATCACTGTGGCTGCAAGAGCCACAATGACTGGTGACTGGAAGCACTGTATAGTCAGGGAAGGGAAGAAAGACATGGGGGCTCATGCCTATGGGGCCAAAAGTTCAAAGTTTGGGAAGTCATGGTGTTCAACCATAGGAATAGCATGATCTGGTTTGCATTTTTCTTCAAGAGTAATCATTCTTGTTGCTGTGTAGAGAATGCATTTCAAGGCAGCAAGAGCAGAAGCAGCAAAGAGATTATCATAGGAGATAAATAATGTTTGTATCAGGTGGAGAGAAGAGGACAAATTCAGGATCTAGTTTGGAGGCAGAGGTGGCTGGACTTTTAGGTGAACAGGATGTGAATGAAGGAAAGAAAAGTCCAGGATACCCCTGGGTCTTGTCAGGAGCCCCTGTGGTCCCTTTACTGAATCAGGAAACACTGGGAAATAAACACAAATTTACAGCAATGATTTTTTTTTTCTTTTAATTTTTTTGTTTTTAATTATTATGGGTACATAAGAGGTACATATGTTTATGGAGTACATGTGATGTTTTGATACATGCTTACAATGTGTAATAATCCCATCAGCTTACTGGGATACCCATCATCTCAAGCATTTATTATTTCTTTGTGTTAAGAACATTCCAATTCCATTCTTTTAGTTATTTTAAAATATACAATAGTGTTCACCATAGTTCACATTGTTATGCTATCAAATACTAAATCTTATTCATTCTTTAACTACATTTTTATACCCATTAACTATCCCCACTTCCTCCACCATCACCCTGCAGCAGTATTGATGGAGTGAAAACCAAAAAAGTACTTTTTGGGACATAGCCAGTTTGAGACACCTACTGGATATCCAAGTGGATGTGTCAGGTAGGCAGTAGATGAAGAATTTGGGAGACAAGGTGCCACATTAAGGCTGAGCATGATCAGAATATAGACAGCAAACAAAGCCCTGGAGCGAAAGACTCCACCGAAAGAGAGGCTGGATTATGGAGGGAAGAGGCCTCAAGATGGAGATCTAGAATACTACAATATTTACAGGTGGGAAGAGAAGGAATCTGGACAGAAGATTCAACTGTGGTCAATGAGAAGAAGGAAAACCAGAAGACAGTAAAACCAAGCCCTCCTTCCAGAGATGAGGATTCTAAAGGTCCTGAGTGAGACCCTGGAATCTTAATTTTTAAAAGTTCCCCATGTGATTCTCATGTGTGGCCGGTATCAGGAGTCACTCTGAAAGTGCACAAAACTGAATAGTTGGTCCCAGAACTTGAACCCAGCTCTTCTGACCTCTACTTCCTCACTCTGTAACTCCTATTCCCTCTCTACACTTTTTAAAAATACAAGCCATTTCATCTTCATGCTGATATTAAATTCCCATCTATTCCTCAAATCATTAACTCTAGCTATTGTTCCAACTGTGCTCTCTTTAGTCAAACTTTGGGAAGGAGTTGACTACATCATCTCTGCTTTCTCCTCTCCTATAGATTCCTACATCCACACTAATCTCCTATCACCCTGGCTCATTACATTGTTTTGTTCAAGTCGATGGAGCCCTTCACGTCAAATGTAACAAAACTTCTCACTTCTTACTCCAATTGTCAGATCACATTGACACCACTGACCATTTCTTCCTTCATAAATCTTTCCCTTCTCCCTCATGGGTCTCCTAGTGCCTGTTCTACTTTTTTTTTTCTTTCAGTCTTATTCATGGGATTCTTCTCCTGTGTTCACCCCTTGACCATTTACAGATTTTCACTCATGTTCTGCTGGTTGTTTTTTTGTTTTTGTTTTTGTTTTTTTTCCTCATCAGCAATTTGAGAGCTGAGGACTAAGGTAGAGATTGTGTAGTACAGAAAAAAATGTAGCTAGTTCTCATAACAGCCTGCTCCTTCTATCTTCCTGACAGATGTCTACTCACCTAACTACCACCTACTTGCCAGTGACTCTCAATTCTGTATTTTTGATTCTGCTCTCATATCCTTGAAATTCAGGCTCATAAATACAACAGCATGATGAAAGCAGTCCATTGAATATTCCACAGGTAGTTCACACATGACATGATCAAAAACTAAAACCAGTATCTCATTCTTCAAACTGGTTTATTTTACCCTATTCATAACCTACTTAATGGAATAATTTGAGCCAGAAACCTAGCGAGCCCAAAACTTGGAGGAGTCCCCAAACTCCTCTCTTACTTCCCCTTAGTTCCATATCTAAGCAGCCATAAACTCTAGCTAATTTTACGTTCCTGAATCCTCACATTTGTACCTTCCTCTTCAACCTATGCTATGCCTGCAGAAGTTCAGGCCATATCAACACTCTCAAAGATTGGTGCAAAGCTTCCTTGAGTTGACTCTTGCTCCCCTTAAATCTTTGACAGCAGTGAATGGGAGGGTTGAGAGTTTGGAAAGTATGATAGCATCACTGCCTTGCCTATGACATTTCAATGGCCCCAAACTACATTCTGGACAAATCTAAACACTTAGCAGAGAATTTGAACACCCTCCATAATTTGTCCTGTTCACTTCTCTTTGGTAGCACCATCTTCTGCCATCTTGAGATTCATTCACTACAAGTACTGTGTTGCTTGCTTTCCCACATAGGTCACATGATGTTCCATCCTGGATGGATGGACTCAAACACTTTCCTTTACTTGGAATGCTCACTCTAAATTGTTACTCCTCCTTCTTCCTAAGGATTTAGCTCAGACATTGACTCAGGAAGTGTATCTTAGGCCTCAGGGATCAGTAAATTGTCACTCTTGGTGGCTCCTAAAATATATTGTGCCTACCACAAACCAGATTCCATGAAAACACTTGTTTGTATTTCCCTTATTATAAACTCTTCAAAGAAATGGACAATATTTTATTAATTATCGTGCTGCCTAGAACATGCTAGATAATTACCCATGGATGCCTGATACTGTTACACCTTAGTTAGTATTCTTTCACCACTTGGCAAGTTTCTGGAATGCATCTTCTCATCCTTACTTAGCTGGTGGAAGGATGTGAAATAATCTAAGATGACATTCCTAGGCTCAAAGAATCCCCAAAGATTAACTAAGGTAATATTATTTTGTTTGTTTTGCTTATCAGCTGTTTGTATTATCTGTTGGAAGTTTCCTTCAGTGGAGAAAATGAGAGTTGAATTGAAATAAAATCTATATCCTCTCCCCTGATAAACTTCTACTGAGGTTTTTATGGAAATGGCCATCTTCCAGGAACTTTTAAGGTGAATTTCACCATAAGAATGGCAGACTGAATTAAGCTGTGATTTCCTTCAAAGGTGGTAGCTATATTTCTGCAAATTCTTCTTGGTAAAATAATCGTTGGCAATAAATAGTATGAAGGAATACTATTTGGGGAAACTGTCTTTTTCACCATCCACAGTAAGATGTGGTGGAATACACTTCTGCCTTAGTGGTTCCCGTCTTGGTGTTCTTCACTGTGCATGTGTTAATTAAGCAAAAGTAGCACAACTTATATCAATTACATACGAGTTATTCTCTGTTCCTAGAACCAGAGTCTCTTACAGTTCAGTGTTGCTCACACTGTCTATTAAAATGCTTCTACTAAAAAAGGAGAAAAATTGATTAACCCCATGCCATCTACGGATGGAAACTAAAAAGATGTGGCAGGCACAAAGTAACTTTGAAGTTTCAAATTATATCTTCAAAATTTATGCAAGCATTTGCATTTCACTCCATACTGTATCCATGTTTTATTTTCGCAGATCTAAAGGGGAATATGATTGATGCTTCAGAAACATGTGCCATGTCTATCTGGTGGCTTCCTATATTCCTGGAGCACCAAGCAGTATCCCACATGTAGACAGCATTTTGAGAAACACAGTTAAATGAGCCATTACTTAAAAAGTTCCTCGACACAGGTATGTGTAATGCCTTCCTATGGTTAAACATTTTTAACCATAGGAAGATTAAAAATTTTTCTTTTCTCTTTCTTTTTTTTTTTTGAGACAGAGTTTTTCTTTTTTCTTTCTTTTTTTTTTTTTTTTTTGAGACAGAGTTTTGCTCTTGTCCCGCAGGCTGGAGTGCAATGACATGATTTCTGCTCACTGCAACCTGAGCCTCCTGGGTTCAAGCGATTCTCCTATCTCAGCCTCCTGAGCAGCTGGGATTACAGGCAGGCACCACCACACCTAGCTAATTTTTATATGTTTAGTAGAGATGAGGTTTCACCATGTTGGCCAGGCTGGTCTCCAACTCCTGACCTCAAGTGATCCATCCGCCCCAGCCTCCCAAAGTGTTAGGATTACAGGCATGAGCTACTGCGCCAGGTCACATTTTTCTAAGGATATCATTGAAGTGATGTAGTCTCCTGGGCCTATCACATCAGGATATCACATCAAATCACATGCTGTTGATTTGACCCATTTTCGGTGACATTAACATTGATTACTTGATCAAAGTGGTGTACTACAGGATTTTCCTTTGCAATGCTATTATCTAGTTACCCCTTTGTAATTAATAAGTATCTTGTGAAGTGATACATCCAGATTATATAAATATCCAGTTTTCCTGAAACTTTCACCCATTAGTTTTAGCCTCCATGCTGATGTTTGTGTGAATCAATTCATATTTCACAGATGTCTTTACAATAAGAAAGAGCTCTTCCTTGTGCCATTTACTTATATGTTCATTCATTCATTCATCTTTTAAAACATCAGTGTAGATTCATGGATTCGTATTTCATGAGCTATAATCTTTGCTATCATTTATTTTGATGCTCAAGTTGTCCCAGATTTGGTGAGTGGGAGCCCCCTCAGGGGTGCTGCTTCCTTTTCCCATGTTCAAATAGAGGGGCAGTAAATAGAACAATGGACCTTCACTCTCCAAAAACACAACATCATCAAAGACAAAGGAAGATCAGGAACTTATCCAGATTAAAGAAGGCTAAACTGACCTCACAACTGAATGTAACACATGATCTAGGAATTTGTTATTAAAGGACATTATTGCATAACTGATAAACTAAGATAATGCCCCTAGAATAGATAATAGTATTTTGTCAAATTATTGATAATGATACTAGTTATGTCAGAAAATGTCCTTGATTTTAAAACACACACCATGAAGTATTTACAAACAAGGGGGTATCATATCTGCACCTTAATCTAAAACACTTCTGAAAAAAATTTAATTTTCTCTATATAAATAAACATATAGATAAACACAGAAAGAGATCACGCTAACATAGTAAAATGTTAACATCTGAAGATTCTCAGTAAAGGGCTTAAGGGAATTCTTTGTATATATTGCAACTTTTCTGAAAGTCTGAAATTACGTCAAATGTTTTAAAACTCTGTTAGTTGCCAGGCGCGGTGGCTCATGCCTGTAATCCTAGCACTTTGGGAGGCCGAGGCGGGAGGATCACGAGGTCAGGAGATCGAGACCATCCTGGATAACATAGTGAAACCCCATCTCTACTAAAAATACAAAAAAGTTAGCTGGGCCTGGTGGCAGGCACCTGTAGTCCCAGCTACTCAGGAGGCTGAGGCAGGAGAATGGCATGAACCCAGGAGGTAGAGCTTGCAGTGAGCCGTGATTGTGCCACTGCACTCCAGCCTGGGTGACAGAGTGAGACTCTGTCTCAAAACAAACAAACAAACAAACAAACAAACAACTCTGTTAGTCCATATCTCACCTACTTATTGAATGCAGGATTCCTTCCCCAGTATCACTGCCAGACATGTATTCCTTGCCTATTTATGTACAGTTTATAGGGAGCTGTGGCCATAGAAACACTGTCTCATCAATGGGCATTTCTAGTTGTTAGCTCAACCCCAAATGTGCCACCTTAAAAGTCAGCTCATGTGATGCTGCCTCTGGCGTTCAATCAAAACAGAATAATCCTGTCCCAATTCAACATCAGACAGTTTGAATTCATACCTACCTTTTCCAGGCCAGTTATTTGCTTTTTATGTAACAACTGCATATTTGAAATGATTTCTTGAACCATCACCATTACTGACACCAGAGCCAACTTCATGGATGTGTGACCCATGCAGTCACACAGAGTTCCATGCTTGATTTAATGCACTTGCTGTTGATCACTCAAAACTCTTAATAACGTTTGAACAAAGGGCTCCATATTTTCATTTTGCATTGGGTCCTGCAAATTATGTACACAGGACTGCTGCAAAAAGTCTATGTGGTACCTTTGTGTAAACTGGACACCCACAGGCACAAGGCCTGGTGAGAAAACAGTACCTATGTGCCCAGGAAAACTAGCCTCCTCTTCCTTCAGGTGGATGAAATCACATTCTAGAGTGTGCATCTTGGCTAGTGAATGCATACTCCGGAATGTGAGAGGAGCTGTATTTCAACACTCATTTTTTTTTTTACCGGGCTAGATGCGATTACTTGGCTAGATGCACAACTTTATTTAGAGGTCCAGACTTTCAAACCCTGCAATAGTATTCCTATATATTAATTTCAGTCCATGGAAAAGGACTGAGCATTTACAGAGTAGAATAATATTGTCTCTTGGCTTTGGACACTTGTTTTTCCATGGGAGAGGAAGGAGAGTTTCAAGCTTTTGTATGATTTATACCAAGTGTTGAGCATCGGTCTTAATATTATGTTCCATGCCATGGGAATATATCCACATTCTGAACAGATAGGAAGGGAGCAGTGGAGGTATTATGGGCAGTTTAGGCCTCTTCCAGAGCTGTACACTGAACAACAGAGAGTTAGTGATTCTCATGCTTCCTAACTTCCATTCCCATTTTAGAATGGCTTCATTGTAGTACTGTTAGGAGTGCACAAACAAGAAAGGACAAAGTTGGCCCTTATCTGTCAATGTAAGCTATGAATTCACTAAGAAGCCAGATGCCATGTTAGATCCATGGTGCAATCATGACCTACAGCTAACAAAGGTCTTTTTCTAGAGCCATATCCTACACTGGCAGGGTTGCTTTTCAAGCCAAACACATTTATAAAACAAAGGTAATATACATGATTGTGTACTAGGCTAAGGAGTCAAGAAAAAGGGTAATGCAGGTTGAATCCTCAAGCAGTTTACGATCTAACTAGGGACATAAATCCACAAATACCTTCAAAATAACTATCATTCGGGGTATTTTAAGTAGTGTGGTAGAAGTACTAAATCGATGCTTTGAAAACTCAGTTAGACACTTAGAATTTATGAAATTTTGAAGCTGGGGGTGCCACAGAGCATTCCTTTCAATGACTTAGTTGGTATGTGAGGCTGCTGAGATCAACAAGTGATAGGGGATTTGCTAAACTAGGTTTTGTGAAGGAAACAGCATGCAAGATGGCCCTTGGATTTAGGGAGAGATTGGAGTGTGAGATGGGCCACAGAATATGTTCCAAGGATAAAAAAAAAATAGATAAGCAAGTCAAGGAGGGGAAAATGAGTCCCACATCCTAGACTCTAAGCATCTAGGTCATGCCACTAAGGTGGACAAAGAACACTTGCAGGGATATCATTGGAGATAAGAATGGAAATGTACAGGAAGGCTGCATCTGTAAGCCAGGAAGATGTGCCTAGATGTATTTATTTACATATTCAAATTTGTGGGTAGCAGAGGGCCATTAACAGTTTTTAGTAAGAAATTATTTGTCAAAGCCATGAAGCCAAGATCCATAATTGAGGTTTCATTTGATGTCTCTCTTCCATCATTTTCAAAAAATTTTTACCCTTCAAAAAGCAAATGAAAATAATACTTCTTTGACTATGGGAGTTTCAAAGCTTTTGAATGAAATTCTCTTTTAATTTCTTTACTCCTTCTTGGCACAATTGCATAGCTATTTTAGGGGTGTCTTAAATCAGCAGCATATTTAAATTATATTCAGGATGTATCACATTTTATACATTAAAAAACAAACAAACAAAATAGTGGTTTTCTGCTGTGTTTTCTTTCAAGTGGCTAACTTGCTATAACAGGCTTGACTAAAACAGGCAAACATTCCCTTTCTTCTCCAATCCCAACAGTCATATGGGAGAAAAGGCCCAAGTGTTAAGAAAAGTTTGCCCGGCCAAGGGTTAGTGGTATAGGCCCAATATTTTATAAGCAGATGAAGAAGAAGGAGAAAAACAGGGAAGAAAATAAAGGGCTAGGCAGCCAAATGTTCACACATGAAAATAAACAACTACAAATAATTGAATATTCCTAGTTTTGACAACCGTCCAGCAGCAGAAGTAACAGATGCCATGGCGTGCCCGTCTATCTCTGGCTCTATTGAACCAGACAAACGAGAGGAGGCCCGTGGGAGTTGTTCCCTAGAGATAGACTTCTGCCAATTTTGTGGGGTAAATGTAGGTTGGCTTTATTTATTTATTTTTACCTTTATAAAATCACTTTTGAAACTAGGCCTCCGCAATTTCCAGCCCCAGGCAGTTGGACAGCAGCCAACATCTTCCTGACACAGTGTGAAATTATTAAGGAAAAAAACAATAGTTTAAGATAACAGGCACTTTGGCTCCTAAAACAAAATGTGTGTGTGCATGCATGCATGTGTACACACACACACACAACTGGACCATGAGGAGGAATACAATTTACTCTTAAACAGAATCAGAAAGGAAAGCTATTACAGCTTTCTTCAAGGAAACACTCAAATGTACATGAACTTTTTTCTATTATGGTTTTTAAACTCCCACGTAACAGAAAAGGATCAACATACCTTAGTGCCAACAGCACTCAGGGTGAGAGTTTGAAAGATTCAGGACCTGGTTCCATGTTGGTATCAGCTGGGTGACCTTTGATCACCTAACTTTTTTTTCTTTTCTTTTTCTTTCCTAAGAGATGGGTTCTTGCTGTGTGCCCCAGGCTGGAGTGCAGTGGCTATTCACAGGCGCGATCATAGCAGACAACAGCCCCAAAACTCCTAGGCTCAAGTGATCCTCCTGCCTCAGCCTCCTGAGTAGCCATGACTACAGGCACGCACCAACATATCCAGCTCACCTAACCTTTTGCCTTTTGAAACATCACTTTCCCAGCTGTTAAATGAGGAATTTGGGTGAATGGTTAAATCAACATTTTCCAAATAGTGCTTCAGAAACATATTCTAGGGTCTTGTTACTAAAAGTATGTCCCACAGACCCACTGGCAGCATCTGTAGGTATCCAGGGAGTTCATCAGAAATATAAAATTGCGCTAGGCGCGGTGGCTCACGCCTGTAATCCCAGCACTTTGGGAGGCTGATGCAGGCGGATCACGAGGTCAGGAGATCGAGACCATCCTGGCTAACACGGTGAAACCCCGTCTCTACTAAAAATATAAAAAATTAGCCGGGCGTGGTGGCGGGCGCCTGTAGTCCCAGCTGCGTGGGAGGCTGAGGGAGGAGAATGGCGTGAACCCTGGAGGCGGAGCTTGCAGTGAGCCCAGATCGCACCACTGCACTCCAGCCTGGGCGACAGAGAGAGACTCCATCTCAAAAAAAAAAAAAAAAAGAAATATAAAATTGCAGGCCTCATACCAGCCATACTGAATTATTTTAACTGAATCACCAGCATTTTAATAGCATCCTGGTTGATTTGCATGCATGTTAAAGTTTGAGAAACACTGCTTCTGGGCAAGACAGCTCAAAGGTGATCATAGAATCACCTGGATACAACTTGATACAAACATGCCTTTCTAGGTCCTTTCTCCAGTCTCAATCTGAAAGCCTGGGGTGAAAGCTAGGACTCTGAATATTTAACTTAATACCCCATGGAAATCCATTTCAGTGAATACATGCATTATATAAATTTTTTTGTTCATATTATTTCCCTTTAAAATCAAATGATCTGAAAGTGGTATTATTCCAATGAGCTTCCTGGTGTTTTTGTAAACATTGGCTAAGGTGATCATGTCAAGACCCTACGTGTCAATGGATCCCTCAGCTGAATTGTCCCAGATGCCATAGAGGTTAAGCCCATGCAGTTTTTTTCAGTTTTTTGCTTGTTTTGTGTGGGTTTTTTTTTTTTTTTTTTTTTTTTTGACAGTCTCGCTCAGGCTGGAGTGCAATGGCACAATCTCAGCTCACTACAACCTCCACCTCCCGGGCTCAAACGATCCTCCCACCTCAGCCTCCCAAGTAGCTGGGACCACAGGCACATGCCACTGTGCCTGCCTAATTTCTGTAATTTTTTGTAAAGACGGGGTTTCGACATGTTGGCCAGGCTGGTCTCGAACTCCTAGGCTCGAGCATTCCACCTGCCTCGGCCTTCCAAAGTGTTGGGATTACAGGCGTGAGCCACTGTACCCGGCCCATGGCAGTTTTAAAATTGGTAATTCTTGCTGGATAATTGTTTAAACGCAGGAAACATAAGGAGCTCTGATGGTGAACTCCAACAATTTAATGAACAATATTAAAAGGATACCAATTTTGCAAAGCCCCCTCAAGATGATTGTCATCAGATTCATAAGCTACATTCATCTATCAAAATCCTCATTTAGCACATTAAGATGTCTCTAGTATTTCAAAAACCAATCTTTAAAAGAAGAAACATAGTGAATTATATCCAATTTAGCTTTTCATGTATTGGGAATAAAGACGATCCTCACACACAGTGTGTCACTTGCAGGAAAGTGCTTACAAATAGCAGCGAGAAATCTCTCTCATCCCCATATAGAATGAAAGACATTTTTCTCTAAAGTGGATTTTTTCTTTTCCCTGCAAGCAAATCAAAAGAATTCTAGGCAAGGTCCTAAAGGCAACTCCCCCACCCCCCTGACTTTTGATGCCATTACACTAGTTAAATTTCAATTTGCATTTTAATGTACACTGGTCCCCAAGTCAAATGCAATATTTAATGACAAATCATGTCTTGACTTGCATAAATAATTTTAAATAAATTAAAAAACCTCTCACTTGCTACATGAGAAGAAACTAAGTATGTGTTGCAAATATTAGAGATTATATTAAGTACATTGGATAATTTAGGCTTTAATAATATTCAGACATATTTTTATTTAGAAATCACATCTTTATTACATCTTTGATACAGATACAGAAGAGTGACAAAATAGTTTTTAAATCTCTAAAACAACTTGGGAGCTTATTACCACAAAAATATTTTATGATTCTAAAAAGGTGGGAAGTGATAGAACAGTGTTCTCTGGGGCTAGGCTCAGTCGTTCATGCCTGTAATCCCAGCACTTTGGGAGGCTGAGGAGAAAAAACTGCTTGAGGCCAGGAATTCAAGCAGCCTGGGCAACATAGCAAACCCCATTTCTCTCTCTCTATGTGTATATATATATTTTAAGTCCATATATATTTTACATTCTTTCTCTCTCTCTCTCTTTCTTTCTTTCTTGATGGAGTTTGGCTCTTGTTGCCCAGGCTGGAGTACAATGGTGTGATCTCAGCTCACTGCAAACTCTGCCTCCCGGGTTCAAGTGATTCTCCTACCTCAGCCTCCCGAGTAGCTGGGATTATAGGCATATGCCACCATACCTGGCTAATTTTTTCTTTTTTTTTCAGTAGAGATGGGGTTTCTCCATGTTGGTCAGGCTGGTCTTGAACTCCTGACCTCAGGTGATCCACCCACCTTGGCCTCCGAAAGTGCTGGGATTACAGGAGTGAGCCACCGTGCCCGGGCTAAGTGTTTTCTATTTTTCACATTGTTTATTCTCTCATGCCTGGGAGAGTTGGGGACTGAGGGCTGATCCAGAATAAATTTTTATAGAATCCATAATCTAAAGAAAAATTACTAGGTTACTAAAATTTTAATTCAATTTGTTTAAATAAGGATTAAGACACCTGCAAATGAAAGATGGTGGTGGAGAATCAAATATATCATAAAATAATAGCCGATGATTGATAAATGCTCATATGTGCCAGGCACAGTTTTAGATATAGTTTAACTTTAACTATGAAAATAATTCTATGAACCAGGCACCCTTTTATCAATGAAAACATTAAGACACAGAGATGAAATAATTTTTCTACCATCACAAAACTAAGTAGTAGAACTGAAGTTGGAAACCAACAGGACTCTGGAGTCTGGGTTCCTCCCCATGCGACGCATGTGTGAAAGTAGAAACTGCAGGTGTGATGGCACACGTCAGACATGCGAGGGTGACATGCAGAAGAGCAAAGCGTTTAGAAGGACCGATAATACTATACACCATGAATGGCAACGGGAAACTAACAAAGGTGTATTTGAGCCAGTCTTTGCAACATTTTGTAAGCAAAAACAAGGTTTTTCCCTGGACAAAACCCCTGGAAGTTTCCAGCAGGCAAGTCGCAATGAAGAATTAAGTGAGCAAGAAGGACAGAGATGGGGAGGACAGGCATGTGCAGAGATCAGGGAGAAGCTATTTACAGTAGTTCAGAGTATAGGTCATGTGGGCCTCAGAGAAGTGAAGAACAGGAAAGGAAAAAGTGAGGGTGAGCAGAAAAAAATTGAGGGGGTCTATATTGAAATCCCCTCTGCTGTTTTGCAGATAGAGCCTTGAAATTACCTATTTTATCTTGACTCAAGTCAGATGCCCTGGCTGGCCTGATTGAGACCATGCTGGGAGCACAGACATGAACTTAAGATGAGATTAAATGCAAACATATTCTCTCTCTCAGCTGGCCTGCTACTTTAAAGTCATAAAATAATTGTTGGCTAAAATTAATTAACTAAATAACTATAGGAAAATATTTCCCTTGGCTCTCACACCAAGAGCCTGGCTTGTGAGGTGACCTCTTCTCCCTGGCCTATCAGAACTCAGGCAATACCCAGGAGAGGGCCTCCCCAAATTGCCAGTAGAATGAAGGTGACATGTGTGTTTTGAGAGGAAGATTTCATTCCCCCTGGGAACATAAATGTCTCTGCAAATAGCAATTCACTCCTATTATTAATCTCTAAACCATCAACATCTGCTGCAGTCTCTCATCCTGTATTCTTCATGACACTCTCAAAAGGCAGTATTTGAATAAAACAACAATAACCATCTCTTCCCCTATCTCCCAATTTCTTTCTGGAGGTGATTTTACCATCCCAGGCACACAAAAGAGGTTTTATGGGGATCCATGGAGGTGGAATAATGGAAGTGGGAGGGCTGAAGACATTTGCAAGGAGGAGAAAAAAAGTTTGTGTATTTATGAAACTTTTTTAAAATTATAAAAACACTGATGCTGAAATATGATAAAGAAATATTGGACCCTTCTGAAAAGCAATTTTCTTTCTTTCATACTTTTTTCCAAGTGTGTATTTTTTTTTTTTTTTTTTTAGTCCTACTTGGGTCAAACTAATGCAGTTTTAAAACCCATTTCCATGTTTTAAGATTCAGAGAGAAGAGATTGAACAGTAGGTTATAAAAATCCCTTAATGTCTTTAATGTAGTATTCTTGCAGATTTGCTGGAAAGTAAACAGTCATTGCTCAACTTTTCCCATAAGTGCCCCTTGAACTTTGTCATTGACGGTGAACAGCAGAATCCATTTGCATGAATTTCATTCTCTCAGGAACAGGTTTTCCCTGGCATTGTTGAGACACCTGCACTCCGACTGTCTAGGCAGAATCTCCTAGCCAAACTAATTTGCTGAATGTACTCTGGAGGAAATTATCAAACTTATTTATTTATGTTTTGAGATGGAGTCTCTCTCGTTCTGTCACCCAGGTGGGAGTGCAGTGGCACGATCTCAGTTCCCTGCAACCTCCACCTCCTGGGTTCAAGCGATTCTCTTGCCTCAGCCTCTCAAGTAGCTGGGACGACAGACGCACACCACCACACCTAGCTAATTTTTGTATTATTAGTAGAGATGGGGTTTTGCCATGTTGGCCAGGCTCATCTCAAACTCCTAATCTCAAGTGATCCTCCCACCTTGGCCTCCCAAAGTGCTGGGATCACAGGCGTGAGCCACTGTGCCACGCCTGGCCAGAAATTATCAAACATTTTAAAATAACATTTTAGAAGAGTAAATTTAAGACCTCTCATTTACATTCTGTAGAAGCATCTGACATCTGTAAAACCTCTCTTCAGCTCTATTTAACTCTCATTTGTGGTCCTACAAGACAAGGTCACCCAGAATGTACTTACAGGCTATGCGCACAGAGGCCTTCCTGCTCTTGGAGGTACCCAGGTGGCTCCACGCCACACACTGGCACCAATAGTCCTCGGGCCCATGGAAGTCCTCCACCTGTTGCCTAGTAACATTGATGAACACTTCGCGGACCTTCAAACCTGATGGTGGGAGAGATAAGAGACAAATCAGCTGAGGCTGTTATATTTCTCAAACAGAAAGTTAAGGTTAGCCAAACCTTTTCTTTTTAATTAAACAATCCTGTTTTTAATCAAGGCAAGGTTTTAATTACTTTGACAATAATATATTACTGCTAATTAAATTTCAACAGCTGAGTAGGCTGGAAAGCACACGTGTAAAGTATTATCAACCAATTCCGGCTCCCATGCAATAGAATAGTTCTCACAGCACCTTGACTTAGTGCTGTTTGTCTTTCTTTGGTACTACATTCCTCATAGATTTTACACAATGTTGATTGCTGGGATTCTCCAAGCCAAAGAGGCCTCCACAAATCAATGCCAGGGACACAGTTCCAAGTTGTTCTAAGTGCCCCTACGTCTGGGTTTGGCAGCTGGGGTGAGTCATTGTAACAGTCTGGCTTAGAAGAAAGAGGAGTCAGTGAACATTTGCAGATGGGGTGACCAGGCTGAAAATCTGAGGAAGGACGAAGGCATCGGCATTCAAAGGCTCAGGACAACAAAGCCAATGGGACCAAAAGAAGGAATGAGCACAAAGAGGAGACAAGTTGAAATAAGTATTTTTTTTTTAAGCGATGGGGATCTCACTATGTTGACCAGGCTGGTCTGGAATTTCTGGCCTCAAGTAATCCTCCCATCTTGGCGTCCCCAAATGCTGGGATTATAGGTGTAAGCCACCGTGCCCAGCCACATGTGATATTTTGATACATGTATACAATATGTACTGATCAAATCAGAGTAACTGGGATATCCATCACTTAAAACATTTTTTGCTTTTCTGTATTTTTTCATTGATACATCATAGCAGTACACATAAACCAAGTTAGTCTTAAAGCCCTGAGAAGAGAACCCAGGGAGGCCCCCATAGCAATGGTATGAGGAGGTGAAGAAAGGGGGGTTTTTATAGAAAGAGTGGCTAAGGGCACAGCAGTGAACTGAGATGCAGCTATTAAGACCACAACCTTTTAATGGTTTTTTTTTTTTTTGTTACTTTACATCCTCCTTCTAAAATTAAACAAATTGTCTGGTGCTTCTAACTGGAGAGCATGAGCTTCTTCTCCACCTTTGACCAAGGACTATCAACCTTTCTTTCTTTGGGATGAGCAGTCGTCCTGTACCAAGGATGGAAGGGGCACCTCACTTGCCTCACCAGTTAACTCATCACAAACAGGGAAGCAGCCTTCACAGCCAGCACGTCCTCTTCATCCAGCACACATTCTCTGAGGTTGTGCTTTGCTCTAGGATAGGCCGGTTGGGAGAAAAAGAGGCAATGCTTATTGAATTCCATCTAATTGCCTCATGTCATGATAAGTCTCGAACCTATGCGCTCTTTACATTTCCACGGTACTCTGTGGCAGTGCATGCTATTGTGTCCCTACTTTGCAGAGGAAAGAACTATGACTCAGGAGGCTACGTCATTTGTCCACAGTCAGCGTTTGTAAATGAAGGGTCTGGTGTGTGAGCCTGGTGTTCGCACACCAAAACCAGCACTATGCTCAGGTGCCTCTTAACAATTCAATTCTGTTCCTTTATTTTAGTACTTACACTTGATTGTGGCAATAAGGTTAATACATGGAACTATTTTTTTAAATTAAGTACCTAACTATGCTTTTTCCTTTAAGTCCAAAAGAAATTCAGGGGATAGAAGCATCACTATAATCAAAATGAGTCCAGAACTCTCGATGGAGGAGGTGGATCATGATTATATCTTGGTTTCAGGATTTAAAAAACAAGAATGGAGGTGTAGGATTAGTCAGGCTGGGGAAACGTTCCCTTCCACTCAATTAATAACGTGTTATTTATGATGTGTGATGAGAGATGGTCATGGCCACATAAGTCACCATGTGCAGTTTGAGGTATACTTTCTAAATTTGTAGGAGGAACCCACGTAACAGAAAATCATCTTGATGACAGTTGGTAACTCACATTTCCCCTGTTTGTGAAAGCACAAAAGCACTGTGTTTTCCCTGTCAGAGACTATGAGTCCAGAAAGCCAACTCCTAAATCAAATAGGAGAAAAGAAGCCTTACAGATGATGATGATGTTGTTCCTGCTGCTTTGTTTTTTCTTTGTTTACACTTTAATGAAAGAAGAAATATGAATGGGCAGACAAAGGCCAGGAGAAGGCAGAGTTGGCAGGCAAAGGCAAGAGGGAAGAATGTCACAGAAAGTGGAAATAAAGGAAGGTTTTTAAAAAGTTTCTTAGAAGCAGACAAAAACATATACTGGGGAAAGGACACCCTAATTCAATAAATGGTGCTGGGTAAACTGGATCACCAAATGCAGAAGAATGAAACTGGATCCCTCTCACCATATACAACAATTAACTCAAATTGGATTAAAGACTTGAATGTAGGACCATAAGCTGTAAAAATTTTAGAAGAAAACCTAGAAAAATTATTGTAGACATTGGCCTAGGCAAAGAATTTATGACTAAGAACCAAAAGCAAATGCAATAAAAACAAAAATAAATGAGACTTAAACTTAAAAGCTTTTCCACAGCAAAAGAAATAACAGAGTAAATAGCCAACCTACAGAATAGGAGAAAATATTTGCAAACTATACATCTCACAAAGAAATAATATCCAGAATCTACAAGGGACTCAAGCAAGTCAGCAAGAAAAGACAAATAATCCCACCAAAAAGTAGACGAACAACACAGATTGTTTTCAAAAGAAGATATGTAAGTATCCAACAAAGATAGAAAAAAATGCTCAACATTACTAATTATAAGGAAATGCAAATTAAAACCACCATAAGCTACCACCTTACCCCAATCAAAATGACCATTATTAAAAAGTCAAAAAATAATAGATGTTGGCATGGATGTGGTGAAAAGGGAATAGTTACACACTATTGTAAGCGTAAATCAGTAAAACCTCTGTTGAAAACAGTATGGAGATTTCTCAAAAGACTAAAGTAGATCTACCACTTGATCCAGTAATCCCACTACTGGGTATCTACCCAAAGAAAACGAAGTCATTATATCAAGAAGATACCTGAATTTGTATGTTTATTGTACTACAATTCATAATTGCAAAGATAGGGAATCAAGCTAAGGGCCCGTCAACAAATAAATGGACAAAGAAAATGTATCATATCATGGAGCGCCACTCAGCCACAAAAAAACAATGAAATCATGTATTTTGCAGTAACTTGGATGGAACTGGAGACCATTTTCCTAAATGAAGTAGCTCAGGAATGGGAAACCAAATACTGCATGTTTTCACATATAATTGGGAGCCAAGCCATGGGTATGCAGGGGCATACAGGATGGTATAATGGACACTGGATTCTCAGAAGTGGGGAGGATTGGATAGGATGAGGGATATAAAACTACTTATGGGGTACAATGTACACTATTTAGGTGACAGGTACATTAAAAGCCCAGACTTCACTAGTATACAATTCATCCGTGTAACCAAAAACCACTCGTACCTCTAATGCCATTAATTTATTTGTTTGTTAGGACAGAAAGCAAGCTGGAGTGGAGCATGCATATTAGAAAGTAAAGTGGAGCAGGTAAAATGGAGGCACTAGGCTCTGGAGAACAGGGCTTGCTTTATGTTTTCCTCTCTGGGCAAACGGTCGATGAGCTCCTTTAAAGAGTAAAAGGTGGGAGAGAGAACATCCATCAATGCATACAGGTAGGAGGAGGTAAAGCGACTTCAATATTCCAGAGCTCCTATATTGCAGAACAGGGAGACCTATTAAAGCAGAATACACCCACACTTTGAGAAGTGGAGTCTCACCAAAGAAGCATTCAATAACCTTTAAGGTAAGAAATGTGTTTAAGCATTTTACCCAGCTGCTACAAGAAGACACTTTCATCTCTTCAGCACATAACATATTCTCCAGAATGGACCATAGGGTAGGCCACAAAACAAGTCTCAAAAAATTAAAAAAAAAATTGAAGAGGAGAGAATACTTCCAAACTCATTACTTGAGAGCAGCATTACCCTGATACCAAAATCAGACAAAGACACAATAATAACAACAAAACTACATGTCAATATAGTTGATGAACACAGATCCTCAATGAAATACTAGCAAACCAAATTCAGTAACACATTAAAGGATCATTAACCATAATCAAGGAGGATTGATCTCAGAGAGGTGAGGACACTTCAACATATGCAAATCAATAAACATGACACATCATATTAACAGAACCAAAAATAAGAAAAAATGATCATTTAAATAGATGCTGAAAAAGCATTTGACAAATTTCAACATCCCTTCATAATAAAAACCTCGAAAAATTATACATAGAAAGAACATACCTCAAACATTAAAGGCCATATATGACAAACCTACAGCTAACAACCTACTGAACAAAGAAACACTGAAAGCCTTTCCCCTTAATCTGAAACACAACAAGGATGTCCACTTTTATATTTTCATTCAACATAGTACTGGAAGTCCTAGCCAGAGCAATCAGGCAAGAGAAACAAATAAAAGGCATCCATTTGGAGAGGAAAAAGTCAAATTAGCCTTGTTTGTAGATGACTTGATCTTATATTTAGAAAAATGTAGAGTCCACCAAGAAACATTGGAACTGACAACCAAATTCTATAGAGTTGCAGAATACAAAATCAATGTACAAATATCAGTAGCAATTAAATATGTTAGTGATGAATAATCTGAAAAAGAAATCAAGAAAGCAATTTCATTTATAATAGCTCTCCCCACCCCCCCACCCCCCACAAAAAATACCTGGGAATGAACTTAACCAAAGACATAGAAGATCTCCACAAAGAAAATGATAAAACTCTGGTGAAAGAAATCGAAGAGGACATACACAAAAGTAAAGATATTCCATGTTCATGGATTGCAAGAATTAATGTTATTAAAATGTCAATACTACACAAAGCAATGTACAGATTCAAGACACTCCCTATTAAAATACCAATGACTTCTTTCTCAAACATAGAAAAAGCTATCCTAAAATTTGTACGGACCCATAAAAAACTCTGAATGGCACCAAGAACTCTGACGAAAGGATAGTATCTTCAATAAATGGTTCCGGGAAAACTGGATATCCATATACAGAAAAATGAAATTAGACCCTTATCTGTCACCATATACAAAAGTCAGATCAAAATAAAAACAAATCTAATATATGAAACTATGAAATCACTCAAAGAAAACATTGAAGAAACTCTCCAGGACACTGGTTGAGGCAAAAATTTATTTAATAAGTCCTTAAAAACACTGGTAACCAATGTAAAAATAGACAAATAGGATTACATCAAGCTAAAAAGCTTCTGAACAGCAAAGGAAATAACTAAAAGACAACCCACTGAAAATGAGAAAATATTTGCAAACTATCTATCTGACAAGGGATTAATAACCGAACATATGAGGAGTTCAAACCACTCAATAGCAAAAAACAGAACAAAAGATTTAAAAATGGGCAAAAGATCAAGACCTGAAAAGACATTTATCAAAAGGCCAAAAATATATATTTTAAAATAGCCAAACATCACTAATCATCAGGGAAATGCAAATCAAAACCACATCTCACCCCAGTTAAAATGTTTTGTGTCAAAAAGACAAAAAAAGATAGGTGCTAGAGAGAATGTGGAGACAGAGAACCCTCATACACCATTTTTGGGGATGTAAATTAATATAGTCACTATAGAAGACAGTATAAAGGTTCCTTGAAAAACTAAAAATATATCTTCCATATGATTCAACAGTCCCACTACTAGGCATATATATCCTCCTAAAAAGGAAATCAATATATCAAAGAGATATCTGCGACCCCGTGAATCATCCTAAGTATCCATCAGTAAAGGAATTGATGAAGAAAATGCGGTATATATCATGAAATATTATTCAACCATACAAAGGAATAAAATCTTGTCATTTGTAGCAACATGAATGAAACTGGAGGTCATATGTTAAGTGCAATAAGCCAAGTGCAGAGACAAATATCACACATTCTTACTCATATGTGGGAACTGAAAAAGTGGATCTCATGAAAATAGAGAGTAGACTGGTGGTTACCAGAGGCCAAGAAGGGGGATGAGGAGAGAAGACAGGTTGAAGAATGGGTAATAAAATACAGTTAAGTAGAAGGACTAAAATCCAGTGTTTGACAGTTCAGTACAGTGACTAGTTAACGATAATCTATTGCATATTTCAAAATAGCTAGAAAAGAGGAATTTGAATATTCCCAGCATAAACATAAGTGTTTGAGGTGCTGGATATTTCTATTATCCTTATTTGATTATTAGCCATTTTATGAATGTATCAAAATATCACAAGTGCCCCAAAATATGTAAATTATGTATCAATTAAAAAAAAGGAATAGGTTCAAGCTAATGGGAAGCACTTTCATGTTTTTCACTTTCCTCATCTTATAAGAATATCTAAGCTATGATTTTTTTCAGCTTGGAAATGAAGACAATCACTATCTCAAAATGGTTCAGGGTTATCATGTTTATAAAGTAGTGAATGTCCAAATCCAAAACACAAAACTTGCTATGATTTAATCTTGGCACCATAGTATTTTAAGAATACCCAGGATTTTTTTTCAATAAAGTATTTTAAGAGATTTAGATATGGAAGTGACTTTTATGAAGGAAGAAGTTGACACTCACAGGTCCTGAGAGACAGGAGTCACAGCAAGCCACATAGAGCCAGATGGGGAAGCATGGGGGTCTTTCAGGAGGCAGAACTGGTAGGGGAACATGTGGCCAAGGGCCTTTCCATTGTGGTTTGCATGGGAAGAAACAATATGCTGGGATTGGCTAGCTTGCATAATGTCAGTGGGCTCTGTGGCGTTGTTGGTACCCGAGTTGTCTGGTACCTAGTCCTGGGGTTAGGGCAGGGGAACAGTGATCTGGAGTATAAGAGCTCCATAGAAATGGTGGTTAGGGGTGTGGCCTCTGGATTGCTTGGTTTGCATATGAAAGGCAAACTCACAGGCAAGTTGTTTGATCTCTCTAAAAATTAGCCAGCCCTGGGCAGAGCAGTCCCTACAGGGTGAGCAAGGCCCCAACTAGAAAGGGTGGTCACATAGACAAAGAGAACTGCACATTGTGCTTTGGAAAGCATAAACAAGGGACCAGGGCACCCTACTATGAAGATTATATCTTGTCTTACCCCACTCTTGTCAGTAGGTTTTGTAACCCCTCATTCAGGCTAACCACAGTTGGGAGGAAAATGCTGAAGTCAAGATTTCAACATTAGGATGGCCCAGTTACCAGCAGAGGCTCCCCATGTGATCAGCAGAGCAAAGTGCATATAAAACAACTGCTCCCAAACACAGTATTTTCCCAACCAGTGGCATCAGAGTGGCAGGCTTCTTTAAAAGGCCACAAGTGACATTACCATCCCACAAAAGGTATATTATCTCTCTAGATTAGGCCTTCTTCTAACATGAGGTCTTCAGTTTTATCAAACCATCCCCTCTAAAAGAAGCCTTGGCAAATCACGAATTCTTTGTATTATATTTTCCCCCACCATAACAATAAATAACTGTTGAATAAGACAAACAATTTTTTAAATACATTCTTTCTCAAATCCTCACTGATCAAATGATATACATACAAATACACATTTACATAGGCAGTATGCATGTATACATACATACCCTTATACACATATGTAATAGTACATGAGTGTATACACATATATGCATACATATACGTGATATATTCACAAATGAGAAATATCCAAGGAATGCGGCTTTAAGAAAATTGCTCTTCCTCCACTGAATTTCATCTAACAGTGTTCCTGCAGAAACGGCTATTTACTTCAGTATCTCCAGAGATGGCAGCTAACTTGTTCATAGAAAATGCTACAGGGGAGCAGAAGTTCCAGGCAAATAAAAAATGGCATATCATAAATAAGAGTAGAATTGTACCTGATAACTGGCATGACTCTAATAAGCATAGAAAAGTCCAACCCTTTAAATTATTGTGCAAATTATAACCATCAGCCTTTGTTATGGAGTAGAGTCTTAGAGAATATACAAATATGACTATGGTACTGATATGCTAATAAGCTTTCTAGGCCGTTGGATGGTTTAGTTGTAGATAGACTAACGTTGGCAGCAGATGACTAATTGCTCTGCATGTACTAAACATAATGGAGCAGCACAGAACTTCATCATTTGTCAGCTTTATTTGTTTAAATGAGAAAAATGCTGACAGCAGTTATTGCTATAATCCCCTTATTTATCAGATAGAAAACACTAGTTACTCTTAGCAGGTCTAATCCTGTTGGGAGACTAAAAGTTAGAGGATTTTCAAACTAATTGAAGGTATATGCTTCACTGTGCAAGGAAGAGAAATGTAAGAGGAGGGAAGAAATGGAGAAGGGAAAATAAATAAAATGCTTTATTTCTGGTCAACTTTAAATAAAAGGGTGATGGTCATAGTCTAGGATCCTAACTTGTTCTGGACAAAATAGAGAATTCTGGAATAGTAGTTAACATTCAGTACCATGCCAACCCCAGCCCGGTGCCTACCAACACCTGGCCCTGAGCTTTTTATCCACCACTCATTATTGCACTGACAAAGCCATCAGCAGCATCCTGCTGTGGTTACTGTTTCCAGCCAGTTCTCAAACACACCTGGTAATGGGCACTTGGGGAGGAATTTGACACAGTTCTCAAATGCTTGCCTCTCCACTCAGCCTTACTGCTTCAATCATTTGGAAGTTCTCTGTAGTAGGATGCTTGGCTTACCAACCGGAACCAATAGATTCAAGAAGGAAGTGAGAATCCCTCCCCTCTAAGATGTTTCTCATATCCCCAACCATACAGAAGCAGTAAATGACCAGCTAACTAGGTTTTGGTAGAATGGTTTATCTCGTCCCAGTCTTGGTGCCTGTTTTCCGGGACCTTTTCAGTTCAATGTTTCACTTTCTTTGTACCTCCTTGTTCACATTATAGCGCTTCATGATTGGGGCTGAGAAAATGAGTATTCCATTTTTTGTAGACAAAGTCCCAAAGAATTACTCCAGTACAACTTCATGAGTAATGCTGGGCCTTGGTCAGTTCTCTGGGAGAGAAACAAAGCAATCAAATTCTCTTGAAAAGCAACAGACTTTTTTTTTTTCCCCTGGAGACAGAGTCTTGTTCTGTTGCCCAAGCTGGAGTACAGTGCTGCGATCTCGGCTCACTGCAACCTCCACCTTTCAGTTCAAGCAATACTTGTGCCTCAGCCTCCCAAGTAGCTGGGATTACAGGAATGCGCCATCACGACCACCTAATTTTTGTGTTTTTAGTAGAGATGAGGTTTTGCCTTGTTGGCCAGGCTGGTCTGAAACTCCAGGCCTCAAGTGACCCGCCCACCTCGGCCTCCCAAAGTGCTTGGATTACAGGCGTGAGCCACTGCGCCCGGCCTGAAAAGCAATATTCTCTTATATTCAAGAGTTTTCTTGAAAGAACCATGAACTCCCAAGATTTCTCAGCCCCTGTGATGCCTGGATTTGGCTGAGGTATCCTCTCTTACTCAGATGGAAAAAGTGAGTCTTCCACTTATATAAGGGAATGTTTTCCATTTGTCTCTTACTGCTTCAAGATCAGAGCATCGAAAACTATACTTCAACAATGAGATACTCCCTCATATTTTGAATAACACATTTTTATTATCATTATTAGTTATATAGTATTTGCATGGCCCTTTATTTTTATTAATACCATCACAGGCATTTTGGTCTTTTATCTTAACATTGTGTTACTATTATTTCTATTTTGTAGTATTATTATTTTGCCACAGGTCCCCTACCATAAGCAATAAATCAAAGATGTCATAAGTTTTATGACATGTTTTGCTGGAAAGACAATTATTGAGCACCCTGTATGTGTCTGTCACTCTGTTAGGTGCTGAGGATACATCGACAAGCAAAACATCAAGATACCTACCCTCAAGGAGCTTCTGGGTTGGAAGGGGAGACTTTTTTTTTTTTTTTTTTTTGAGACGAAGTTTCACTCTTGTCGCCCAGGCTGGAGTGCAGTGGCACGATCTTGGCTCACTGCAACCTCCACCTCCCAGGTTCAAGCGATTCTCCTGCCTCAGCCTCACAAGGGATTATAGGTGCCCACCACCACATCCAGCTACTTTTTGTATATTTGGTAGAGACGGGGTTTCACCTTGTTGACCAGGCTGGTCTTGAACTTCTGATCTCAGGTGATCCACCCGCCTCGGCCTCCCAAAGTGCTGGGATTACATGCGTGAGCCACTGTGCCCAGCCCTGGAGGGGGAGACATTTTAACATGCTCCAACAATGCCCAATGTGACAACAGCCATGACACCAGAAGCACAAGCTGCTACGAGATCACACAAGAGGCTGGGTGCCATTCTACCTATGACTTGAAAGATGTGTCCTTATTAAATATACAGCCTGCCTTCTAGACCACAGCTCCGGGGACTCTTTTAAGGACACATGTATCTCACACGCATTTGAAGTTTCAAAACTGACAGATAGGGAAGAAATGTCATGGAACCGTACCTCCGTATCTTGAGAGAGCTTAGATGTCTTCAGGCCAACATAGTACTGAAAGTAGTAAATTAAATACAGAAATGAAAAGGCAGAACAATGTTTCATTTTACTGGCAGATAATTAATTAGGGCTAAATGTCTTTTATCACTTTATCCTAGCAACAAGTTAAAAATGTATCTTGACCAAAAATAAAATAGTTATCCTTTGAATGTGCATGTGCGCCATGCCTAATGAATAGTCTTTTGTTTTCCCAGGATAATAAGCACTCCACGTATTCCTCAGAAGCACCGCGAGTTCAGTCTTAAGTACAGAAACAAAGAATACACCCAAGCTCTCCAGTTTCTTCCACACAAGAGATTAGAATTAATCAGCTCAGAGGTGTCTGGTAAAGGAAAGCAAATTAACTTCATAGTGTTGTCTGACAATAGCAAGAAGAGAAAGTGAAGAGGCGGAAGTGGACATGGAAAGGTTGTTTAGAAAACGCATCCCATGAATGACTTACTCCCGTATCACACTCACAACATGGTGGGCAACATGGTCATGATTTCCAATCCTGTTGCTTCAATCAATGACTTTCCATTCCTGCAGTCACTGAAATCATCTCCTGCTAGTAGCTTATGGCCTGAGGTCAGGACATATATTGTACCACTTGTATCACCTACAGTGCTACTATCAAAGGTGTTCAAACCAGAGCAACTCCATTTTGAGTGAGGGCTAGGAAAATGAGGCTGGAACTTGCAGGGCTGTGTTCCCACAAAGATATGCATTCCTAGTCTCTAGATGTTGGTGGTTAGGGGAACAAATTAATAATGTTTACTAAACAAACCCAGACTTGGGAGTCTCCAGATATCCTGATATCTGGAGAACAAAGGCATTCCTAATTTTGCTTTAAAGATAATATCAACTCTTGCAAAATATAGTAATTAAGAAAATTAATCCTTTATCACAAACCCTTGTAGCAGAGCACATCTCCCCACATATACAAGCATTGTACCTACAGTGGATGTGTTCCTCCTCTTACTTTCAGGAACATCCTATTCTGTCTATGGAGTAGCTGTACTTTCAGCACTTTACTTTCTTAATAAACTTGCTTTTACTTTGCACTGTGGACTTTCCCTGAATTCTTTCTTGAGCAAGATCCAAGAACCCTCTCTTGGGGTCTGGATCAGGACCCCTTTTCTGTAACACTGCCATGGACTCTGAGGGTAACATAGACACACAATGCGACCTGAATGACTGAATCGCATGCAAGTAAGGCAATGATACTCTAGAAAGGGCAAATATTTACCTGCCAATATTAGCCCTGTTATGTTCTCGGAATGCAAAATTCTATGATTATATATTTGTTTTTTGAATCATATTCACCATACACTTGTCTCATTCAAAAAGAAGAATAAAATAGCTATTTTATATTCATCATTTTGAGGGATAGTCTTGACTGAGCAATTGCTGTACACTAGCCCCTGGGCTAAGCATGTCACATGTATTAGGTGCTATGTGATTGTGGATGCAATTATCACTGCCATTTTACACACGGAGGAACCAAGGAGAAAGGAAGCTCAATTCCACATCCACCTGAAAAAGTATGTAAATGGAGAGCCTGATTTCAAACATTGCTTCCTCTACACCAAAACCCATGTTCTTAACCATTAGGCTAACCTCAGGTTTCTTTTTCTGTGTGTGTGTGTGTGTGTGTGTGTGTGTGTGTGTGTGTGTGTGTGTGTGCTGTTTTTTTATAGATCTTTATAATTATTCTTTTTTTTTTTGTATTTTTTTGAGGTGGAGTCTTGCTCTGTTGGCAGGCTGGAGTACAGTGGTGCGATCTCAGCTCACTGCAACCTCTACCTTTCGGGTTCAAGTGATTCTCCTGCCTCAGCCTCCCGAGTAGCTGGGACTACAGGTGTGCGCCACCACGGCCAGCTAATTTTTGTATTTTTAGTAGAGACAGGGTTTCACCATGTTGGCCAGGCTGGTCTTGATCTCTTGACCTTGTGATCTGCCTGCCTTGGCCTCCCAAAGTGCTGGGATTACAGGCATGAGCAACCGTGCCCTGCCTATAATTTGTATTTTAAATCAATGTACACACTTCTTAATGTGTGAACTAAAGAGACTGGTCAAGGATTTAGGCTTTGAGACAGATGTATGGTCGATATCAGACATTATTAAATTATATAAAGTGATTAGCTGATTTCTGTCACTGCTAAGGATGGATGAGAGTAAATAATCTTCTTATTTCCCTTTTGTAGGAAAAGCTAAATTGGCTATAGGAAACAAGGCCTTCATACTCTACCAGTTTATGTAGGGAATTCATAACATTTTCCTGAAAACCTTTTAAGAATATGTCAGTCTTCTCTGAGAAGTAGAGTGATGAACAAGATGAAATCTAAGGTGGGGAGGGAGAAGGCTTCCATAAAAGTGAGTTTGAAACCCACAAACTGTCAATAAAACACTTTAGAGATTATTTCTGTGCTATGTGGCCTAAAATATATGCTTCCCAAATGTACTTTAGTGATTTGTGAATCATTGAAGATACTTTCAAATTAATGGTTTTCTGGAAGATACTATATTCAAATCCCCATTACCAGCAGAGCAACATTCTAAGATATAAACTTTTAAGATTTAATACATTTTTATTTCTATTCTTCTCCCTTTTCTTGACACAATCCATTAACCTTTTATCCCCAGAGAGTGACTCCAGTTGTTTAAAAAGGAAATCACACACAATGAGGTCCCTGAAATGAAATTCTTTAAAAAGAAAAATATTAGTTTACTAGAGTTGAGACTTTCTCATAACACATTGGAATACACATTATTTCACTCATTAGAATTCGATATCTCTGAGGTGGAATAAGATAAGAGCCACGGCGTGTTGTTAAGAGAATTCCTATTTTTATTGAACAATAAAGAAGTGGTTTAGCTTATTGATAACTCCAGCTCCCCACAGGCCACATAATCTTGATTGCCAAGATATGTTTGGTTTGTGGTTGTTTACTATTGTGTGTATGACATATGTGTGTCTGCCTGTTAGAGTAAAGCTCCTAATTTCTACGTTACTGCATACACCATTCTTTTCACAGGGGTATGATTCCTGGGTTGAGATTACTTCTCAACTCTGAGCTTCCAGATGTTAACAGAAGAACAACACAAGGAAGACGAGTTCCCATATTTCCAAATGAAATGAGGCAGAACAAATGAAAGAGGATCCCTTGGCTAGTGCAGAGAACTGCAAGTGTACATTACTAAGAGGTATAGCCTTGTCTGTGCAAACACAGTAACTCATGTCAAATAAATTGTACTTTTTGCAGGAAAGAACTCTAGCTCTGGGTTTTCCAAGCTAAACTGCATGAAAACACACAATCTCTTTTCTTATTTGAACTGTTAGATGACAGGGCCAAATTACCAGAAAGACCAAAGGCAGTTTGCAGCCTTTAACAACTGAAAGGACTTATTGCTTCCAATTTAGGAACACGAAAGATTCTGTGTCTACTCCAAACACTCCCAGGTCCTATGCATTTCCCATTAGTTCTGTGAGGACAGAATGCCTATAAGTAAAAAGAATTATCAAATTTCTCTAGAATTTCAGAAATGGAGAATATGTTGTCCAAAGAGACATAAGGAGTTACTTTCGACAGGACTTAAAAAACCAGGGACAGTTTTCTCAGTCTCTCTGGTCAAATGTGGTCCCACCGTCCTTGGCTTCTCAGTGTCATTCACTCCTATTAGACTGGCAGGAATTATTTTACGAATCCAGTCAAAAGCCATTAAGTCTGTAAAGGTAGTCAAGTCCTGTTTCCCAGCTCTGCCTTGGAGAACCCAAGGGAGGTAATGCATCTATTTTTCAATACCTGAGGCCATTTTGTTTCCACCCTAAATTGCATTTAGGTATTGTTTTGGGGTATAATATCTCCACTCATCTTGTTCTTGTTTCCACAATTCTACTATTAATACAGAGCTTAGGAAACATAATTGCAGTGTGCGGCAGATAGTGATTTTCATTAACTACACAGAAGAAAACTGTTTAGGGAGAGACATTTCTTTCACATTGATTCAATCAAAATGACTTGGAAGAAAAAGTTGTGCTATTAAGTTCTTTACAAAAAAGTAACTGCTAAAATTTAAATCCTTTCTCAACAGCATATTTTTAAAAATCGGTATATAATATACTCAGATTTGGTCATTTATGAATTTTTTGTTTTGCTCAGTTTCTTTGAAATATGTCTTTTATTGGCTTTCTTTTTTTTTTTTAAGGAAGTAGAGAGGAGGAGATTTCTACATGGAGGTAGAGAATGTAATAAAAAACGCTATCCACATGACATGGAGTTGCCTAGCAATGCTAGGGGAATTAAAAGGGGGAAGCAATAACAAAACAGAATGTAGTGAAATTAGAAGAGGGTGCACTGTTGAATTGGCTTGCAATACTTCAAGAGGTCTTTATATGAGAAGGGATATAAGATTTTTCTAGCAGTGGTAACAGAAATGGCTGATCATTTTACAATATTCTTTCTATCTTTCATTTGGAAGAGTTTACCCAATGGGATTCGGCTATTTTGAGGTCATTGGTGGGCAAAATCTAGGACAGAGACATCTGATGATAAAAAACATACAGCCCCAGTGAGCCACTGGTATTTGAGTCCTTTTTAGTTGTACTAATTGAGCAAAAGACACAAGCCTGTCATATTCTGCCATTGTTTTGTAGCCTTTTGCTTATATGGTAGATGTCATTCCCTTGGTTGCCCTCTCCCAAATTCCACTGTCTTCCTTTGAATTTTTAATGTCAACGTAAGTGAGACTGCTGTTGTCTCTGACTCAATCTCTCCCAGCACCAGGCCTCTCCATCTAGGTCTCTCCTGGGTCCCAGCCTTGGGAGCACAAGATCAGAGACGTTCCTGAAACCAAGATTCAATTTGTTCTCTACTTTCCCCATCGAAATGCCAAATCCTTCCTTCAAAATCAAAACTATATCAACATTCCTGGAAATGTCTACCATTGCTTGCTATAAACTTTTGTCTAACAGTGCCAGAAACATGCCCAGATTAAAGGATTGGCTTTTACGAAGATGGAAGAAATGGTCAGGAATAAATAAATTCTAAAATGTTATATGTATAGGATGATACACATGGGTGACTGAAACCCTAAATAGATTCATAATGGAAAATGATGAGCCATGTACTTCAATCCATCCTTATGTCAGCAAGAAAACTTGTCAATATTTTGATTTGGGAGAAAAGTATAGAAATCTATAGGCAAAGGTGACTCATGGTGTTGAAGAAATTCATCTGAAGGAGAAATCGGGAGATCTGGGTCCTTGAAACAGCTATGCCACAAACTCATTGTATCTCTTAAATCTTAACATTTTAATGTATAAAATAGGGCTGTTAGATTATCACTAAGCTCTCTCTCTCTCCCAGTTCTTACATTTAGATTCTAGGATTCTACGCATGCTTTGGTCTGAAGAACATCTCTAAAAGGGGCACTTTTGTTTTTTTCTCTTCCTCCTACTAATTCCAATTTGAAATGAATAGGGAATTATTATAGAGTTTTAGGTGTTTCTCTCCTTTTTGGAGTTTTGAATTTATACTGCAATCCTACAGTAGTTCAGAACTGTGTAATGATTAGCAGTCTTTCTTTACATGTAAATAAGATGTTTAGTCCTTCGCCCTTCTCTTTATTGATAGAGTTTTACCTACATATCTTTTTGAGACAACTTTTTCCTTTTGCTTTGGAACACAGCATCCCCTGGTAACTTCTTTTTTCTTTTCCTTTTCCTTTTTTTCTTTTTTTTTTTAGACGGAGTCTTGCTCTGTCACCCAGCTGGAGTGCAGTGGCATGATCTTGGCTCACTGCAACCTCCACCTCCTGGGTTCAAGCAATTCTCCTGCCTCAGCCTCCTGGGTAGCTGGGACTACAGGCACCCGTCACCAACCCTGGCTAATTTTTGTATTTTTATTAGAGACAGGGTTTCACCATATTGGCCAGGCTGGGCTCAAACCCCTGACCTTGTGATCCACCCACCTCGGCCTCCCAAAGTGCTGGGATTACAGGCGTGAGCCACCGCACCCGGCTCCCCTGGTTACTTCTTTGCTGGAGGCTGATACTCCTATCCCTGTCTTCTGAAGAGGTATATCTCTAGGTCTACTTCCTTTTCAAGTAGACCTAGTTGACCCTTCCTCTCTAACAACTCTTCCACCCACATGGCTTCGTTCTTTCCTAATGATTCTCAAATCTACTCTTCTACCTACTAATTATATCAAGTTCCAAATCTACATCTCTTCATTATATACCATAAGCACCTCAAATTTAGCTTATCAAAACTATGATCTCACATTTTTATCCTTGTTAATGCAATTACTTATATTCTGGTTGTTATTTCTGTAGCCTCCCGACTCTTGAACCAGTTCTTACCTTCTCTCACCTGAATTATCCATGTCTCTTAGCTCCCTTGTTCTGGTTTCTGCTTACCAACATTTCTTCCAGATTCATTTTTTAAAGCAGAGCTCCAGCCACTGCATACCCGTACATCAATATGATCGATCACCAGAACCAAAATACCCATAAAACTAAGTAAAGGGCTCCACACTCTTATTTGAGGCCTTTCATGCCATTGATTAAACTGAGTTTTCTAGCCACTGGCTGCTATTCTTGTACATAAATTTTATATTTCAACAAAACCAAACGTTTTGCTGAACGTATACCAAGCTTTCTTCATTTACTAATGTTTGTGACCTTCAGGCCACTAAAACTCCTCTCTCCTCCATATGGTGTAGCATCAATTATGCCCATCTGACTTACATATTCATCAATGTTCCTTTCAACCGCTATCAAGTCTACAATACCTTTACTGATAGTCCTAGTTAGATGTGATTTAAGAAACAAATCTTCTGTATAATCATATTCTTCTTTTCAGATATTTATCCTAACTTCATCTGCATAGCATTCATGGGCATATTTGTCTTATCTCTGTCATTATGTGTAAAGTTCACCCCTATGGGCTATTTTCTTACCTATCTCTGAATACTCTGAAAGGCCTACCTTGTTATATAGAATATCGTTGCTATATAGTTAATAAATTAGGCTGATTTGAAACTTCAGAGTTATACTGATGTTTTTTGACTTATTCAAAAATCGGATATCTAGTGAGTTGACCAAGTCAAGCAGTTGACCATCTAAAAAAATCAACAATCTAACGTGTGACCAGATTGGATCTTGTCTGAGAAAGCAAAGTTCAAAAGCATAGATTGTTTCTGTCAACATTAAAATATAAAAGGATATACATTTTGAAGGCTTTGAGTCAAATTATCTCACTTTGACATCCAGGGCAAGCACTTTACTTAATCTCTTTGAGCCTTAGTTTCCTTGTCTACGAGAAGGTAATAATAGCATTATCTACTGCAGGGGACTGTTGAAAAAACTGAGCAAGATACATAATGTCTGTCAAATGCTTAAAGCCTGATATATAGTGAGTGGTCAATATGCATTAGCTAGTATAATCATAATTTCCATCATCACCACTTATCAGCCAAATTTGCCAATAATTTACTAATAATGTAAAGATGGTCCCACAATTCTTTCATACTGGAGATCCTGCTAGGATATGGTAATCTAATTTGGGATCTGCCATTACACCATAGTCAAAAAAAAAAAAAAAAAAGGACTCAGAAACCACCAAATGTGGAGAATAAAGTGCAAAGAATAAAATCTAGGAAAGATTAAAGAAACTCAAATCATGCTGCTTAACAAGGGGTTTGATGCAAGATTTAATATTTGTCCTCAAAAATATTCAGAATTCTGCAAACAAAAACAGTGACTCCCTGGTTTATTTCCAGTGATAATATTAATTTTCATACAAAATTTGGTGTTTAAAGTTATCTACAGCAAGAAAAAAATGCCTCTGCATCATATCGGAAGGGACTACCAAGGCAGCTGTAGGGTCATTTGAAGAAAAGGATTGCATCTTATATGCTGGGAGTGATGTAACTATGACCTCATTCACACAAGGCAATGGGGGGTGATTTCCAGTCTTTCCCAGAGATATAACCACAGGAGAACCTAAAGAGTCACCACAGCTGCTTCTGACTGCTGCACGCTCCTACCTGAGCTCTCGTCCAGAGTCTCTTCAGAGACGTGCTCGTTCTGATGGACCCACTCGCCGTTGCATTTGAAGAATATCTGCATGGCTGGCCTCGCTTTGCACCTGAGTGCAATAGGGTTGCTCTTGATAATATAAGCATCATCTGGCTCCTCTATGAAATGAGGCAGTGTCCCAGGAGCTGATGGGATGGATTCGGGAAGGGCTTCGCCATTGTCAGTTCCTGTGAAATCAAAAAAGACATCAGAACACAGCCTACATTGATAGCACATACACCAGGACACAATGGCAAACCTGCACCAGCTCTAAGATTCTGTGCTGGAGAAATATTCGCTTTATTAATAAAGCATGCTTGTAGAACTGGTGTAGATGAATTATCTTCTAGAAGCTGAACTAGGAGGATATGGTGCCTCCAGCTAGCCATGGCTTCAGTGTTATTGGATGAAACATAAGAATGAATAGGACACGCCTCAAATTTCTGTTTTGAATCCGAGCGTCTTTGCAGAAACAACTGAGATACACATCTGTGAGGTGAGAGGCTCTGGTGAATGGTTACCTTAAAGGGCTAATGACAACCCCAAGCTGCTTCAAAATTTTGAAAAATGGTGAGAATAGATGTTGTTCTCCCACACATGTATGTGAATGACAGGGATGATAACAGAGGATACTCAGCCATAAAATATGGTCAAAAGATTCCAAATGGTCTGCTTTCTTTACCTATGAAATGGTGGAGATTGTCTGGCAATCGTCTTGGATCTTGGATAACTCACCAGCTCACTGCCCCTTCAAAGGGAACATGATTCCATTTTGCTTGCCTTTGGCCCACCCTCTGCCCCCAGCAACCTTCCGCTGGTGAGAATGAACACAAATCGCTAATAGCTCTGAGCTTATAGCCAGTAGTTATAATTACATTTGATCAAATGAAAGGAATAAACTGGATTCTCCCCTAACCTTAGGAAATGGAGGAAGCAATATAAAAAGGGAAGTGCAGGAGGGAAAACTGTACTTCCCTGTTTCTTCATACAGTGAGCAAAGACTTAAGTCCCAGGAAACTGCCACAAAATCAAAGGCAGGAGGGTGTGATTGCTGAGCACAGTGGAGAGGACAAGGAGGAGTGGCATCTTGTACCCTCGAAAGGCCATTCTACTGTAAGACCAAAGAAAGCAAACATTTCAATAGCAAGATTAACTGCCCTAGAAATGGTTGTTCCCATTGAGACCAAACCAGTCTTTAGGATGGAGGAAAACTACCTAGTGAACCACTGGAAGAACAATCTCACTGTGATGGTTAATATGGAGTGTCAACTTGATTGGATGGAAGGATGCAAAGTATTGTTCCTGGGTGAGTCTGTGAGGGTGTTGTCAAATGTCAAATTAACATTTGAGTCAGTGGGCTGGGAAAGGCAGACCCACCCTCAATCCAGGTGGGTACCATCTAATCAGCTGCCAGCATGGCCAGAATAAAAGCAGTAGAAGAATGTGGAAAGACTAGACTGGTTGAGACTTCTGGCCTACATTGTTCTCCCGTGCTGGATGCTTTCTGCCCTTGAACATCAGACTCAAAGTTCTTCAATTTTGGGACTTGAACTGGCTTCCTTGCTCCTCAGCTTGCAGACGGCCTATTGTGGGACCTCACCTTGTGATCGTGAGTCAATACTCATTAAGAAACTCCCCTTTATATATACATCTATTAGTTCTGTCCCTCTAGAGAACCCTGACTAATGCACTCACCCATCAGATCCAACTCTCCGAAGAGAGTCTGGGAAAGGGCTGCATCTTGTGACCTGACCTGCTTTCTGCATGTCATTGATGCAGTTGTGACCAGAGCCTCTTACTATTCATGCTTAAGTCAACAACCGAAATCAGGAAGCATTGTCAATGGTAAACCCAATTCATTAAAAACAGGAGGATTGTTCTGACTGGCCGCGGTGGCTTACGCCTGTAATCCCAACACTTTGAGAGGGCTAGGCAGGCAGATCACTTGAGGTCAGGAATTTGAGAGCAGCCTGGCCAACATGGCAAATCCCTGTCTCTACTAAAAATAAAAATAGTATCCAGGCATGGTGGCACGTGCCTGTAATCTCAGCGACTTGAGAGGCTGAGGCAGGAGAATTGCTTGAACCTGGAAGGCAGAGGTTGCAGTGAGCCAAGGTCATGCTACTGCACTCCAGCCTCCAGCCTGGGCAACATAGTGAGACTCTGTCTCAATTAAAAAAAAAAAAAAAAAAAAGAGTAATGTTCTGTTGAGGAACTACAGGAGGAATTCTTAAAAGTAAAAAGAGGTACAAAGGCTCAGACTTCAAGAGGTATTTTGTATAAGGAAGAAAATAAAAGACACCAAGTTAGTAAATGGCTCCTAACAACTGGAAACACACATGCATAGTTTGCCACTGGAACAAATTAAACTTAAATGTAACTTGATTCTTCCAAATAAGATTTTTTTTCCCATTAAATACATCAGCTTAAGGGGAGAAAAAACAGCCTCACATAACACAGAGTTTAAGAGACTATAAGCCTTGAAATGTATTTGTAATGGAAAAGCTAACTCACATTCAAGTAATTGTCAGCATCAAAAAATTGTAAAGCAAATATTCTAAAAAGTAAGGGCAAACAGTTTATGTCAAAAATACAATAAAGTCAGAAAATAAAATGTGTATATGTCACAGGGAGTAAGAGGGGTTTCGGGGTGGAATCTCAGATGTGGTTTTTTAAAAATATTTTAATTATATTTAAAATGGATTTCATAAAATAAATCACATATTAATTTGTTTTGTTACTGAATGCTTATACCAATTTCTATCTTCAACAAATACCAAGTCCCCGCAGGATTTTGTAAATCCATATGTTAGAGGAAATGACAAAAGTATTAAAAGATTTTATATGAGCATCAACTGCTTACACTCCTATTAGGGGCTTTAGTTCTGTCTAATTCATTGTTCAATTCATAAAAGGACCACTTGATAAACAATACATACCCAAAGCTATAGTGGTAAGCTTAGCAGACACGTACAGACATGCAATCTGAATGATGCACTTTTCCTTTACTAGTAACAACGCATGAATACGTCTATGTATCTGGCACAAATGCCAGATAAATAAAGGGACTAGATCATGTAATAGATCAAGTTTTAACCATTCAACTCACAAAATACAGAGAGATCTAAAAGCAATTAAGTTCCCCTCCTCCCATTTTAATAAATGTCCTTTAGATAAGCAGCACGTTCAGCCTGCATCTGAAAGAAAGCAGGAGAGTGGAATGGACAAGCCTGAGGGTAACTGTCCTAGCTACCCGAGGATCCCCCTTAAGGATCAGTCAATCTTAGGCCAGGCACAACTCATGTCTGTAATTCCAGCACTTTGGGAGGCAAAGGCGAGAGGATCACTTGAGCCCAGGAGTTTGAGAACAGCTTGGACAACACAGTGAGACCCTCTTCTCTGCAAAAAAATTTAAAAATAAAAAAATTAGCTGGATGCATGCGTGTAGTCCCAGCTACTTGGGAGGCTGAAGTGGGAGGCTCGCTTGAGCTCAGGGGGTAGAGGCTGCAGTGAGTCAAGATCACACCACTGGCACTCCAGCCTGGGTGACAGAGAGAGACAGACCCTATTTCAAAAATAAATAAAGAAAAAAGAATCAGTTAACGTTCAGAGGATGAGAAAAAGGGTGGAATGTAATATTACATTTTTATTATTACATAAATACAAAAATTGTTGGGATCCATGAAAATAAGAAAAGAAGGAAAATGATTTACTAGAGTGGCAGTGGGAAGGTGAGGGATTGTAGGTATATATTTGTATACATATCACTGTTTATTTGCATCCGTCTAAAAAATGAGGTAGGTGAAAATAAGAATCTTTTTTTTTTTTGGCTTTGTATAGCGAAGTGCTGGGAGTAGTGACTGCCTATCCCTGTAGCCCGCCCTGCCTTCCCACACTCCAAGTTCCACACTGGGTCAGGCTCTCATTCCTGGTGCAGCAAAGCCCTGCCCAGTAGGTGGCTGCCCTCCAGCAAAAGGGCTTAATCCCCTCAGCAGGCTGCCTCTCCAGGAGGACACCCCTTCCTCATCCCACAGGGCAATGACTCACCTCTCTCCCCCTCTCCAACCCATACTTGCCAACCATGCTCAGCCCTGCCTAGTAGTTTTGAACTGAATTCTTCAGGAAACTGTCAATTCTTTCAGTAAAAGGGAAGGATAGGGAAGAAAGAGGAACAGGAACTGAAGTGGAAACTTTTAAGGGGCTTATAAATTGCTGACAGATTCTATTCTTTGGGACAGGGTGGGAGGAGGTCATTTACTTTAATAAATAGTTTTATGCAAGACTGCATGAATGCTTTTTTTCCTTCAAGATAAATTTATTCATAATCTCAACACATATGCCACAACTCCACTTTACAACTCAAAGAAAAGTTTTAAATTCTGGTAGGACAAATGGCTGGTGACTGATCCAGCCATCTGCCTCCTTCCACACCACATTCACAGCAGAGGCTGGAAAAATCACAGACTCTGATGACCTTCTTGCAGTTCAGCATGGTCAGGTGACACTGGTTTAGCACATGAGTCGTAAACAGAAGCTTCTGTGAAAGCTTGTATCTGCCTGATATAAAGAATAGGTGTGACCAGGTGCTGTGGCTCATGCCTGTAATCCCAGCACTCTGGGAGGCAGAGGTGGGCAGATCACCTGAGGTCAGGAGTTTGAGACTAGCCTGGCCAACATGGTGAAACCCCGTCTCTACTAAAAATACAAAAATTAGCCAGGTGTGGTGGCACATGCCTGTAATCCCAGCTACTCAGGAGGCTGAGGCTGGAAAATCACTTGTACCCGGAAGGCAGAGGTTGCCGTGAGCCGTGATCACACTATTGCACTCCAGCCTGAGTGAAAGACTGAGACTCTGTCTCAAAAAAAAAAAAAAAAAAAAAAAAACGAAAACGAAAGAATAGGTGTGGTTGGTACTGTCCTTTTTCCTGTTTGTTCCTGCCTTACCTGGTGAAGTTTGGGAGGAAAAGTCCAACAGGAACCCGGAAGTCCCAGCACAGACATCACTGAGAGCTTTAACTAACACCAGGATCATCCACCCCCAGATAACATATTACAGCTTTTTTTTTTAAACAATCCCTACTTATTTAACGCTACTGATAGATTTTCTGTTATTTGTGGCAGAAAACGTTCCTCACTGATACAGCTGCATCTTCCTTCTTACACAAAGCCAGCACTCCAAGCTTCACTTAATTAAATCCTAATGCCATCAGCTGTTCAGGAAAGAGCCTTGGTAGGCTAAGGAATGTGGAAACTCCGTTAGCAGAAAGTCAAAATAAGAGCTGCCGTTTACCAAGTAGCTACAGATTGTGGTAATAAGCCTTCTACACGGATTCGGTCATTTAAGAGACACAGAAACTCTCCAAGGTGGGTGTCACTGTGCATCTGAGGAGATGCTTTAATTATCTGCCTTGCCTAAGGCTGCACTGACAGTAAGTGGTGGGCTCAGAACTTGAATGCAGGTCTCTGACTCCAGCCACCTCAGAATTCCATTTTGTTTCAGAGGAATGGATTCTTATAAGTCTGATACTCTAATTTAGTGAGTGCCTGTCGCAGGGTAATAGTGTGTAGTTCATAAAACCAAAAGATGGTATAAAAACACACATTATCTGTGAGTCACTTCTTCACTTACAATAAGAATGACATTTACCTTAAAGATCATTTGGTTAACCTGTGAGCTGGACTGCGATTCCAGATCAGGATGGGTGTGTTAGGAACCCCTCCCAGAGAAGGCCCTGAGAAAATAAATATTTTTGAGAGAACTAGTGTTCTACCAACTATATTTAACTGACTAGACATCCTCACCAAAGTCAGAAATAAAGAAGTCAAAGAATAATTGAGAATAAAATAATAAGAATTTTTCTGTGTTTCATTTAGAAATAAATGTTTCTTTTAAAGCAGGAATATTTAACAACTAAAATTCCAATTAAAATATAAGGACGTGGTGAACATTAGCAAGAAAAACAACTGGGCGAAAGGCACTGCCATTCTAATAGGGTTAAGCATAATAAACTGCCAATATTTTATCATTTGATGTGTTGTATTTGTAATGCAATTGGGCACACCGGGGCCCACAGTCATCCAAAATTGGGATTCATAAAATCCTGATCCATTGGATTATTGTTTAAGTGAATTTGAGCATCAAGAGATTTTGAGACGTTCTAAATTATTTGTATACTTTTTTCTTGAGAGGACATTACTTTGAAATACATATCACTTTTTTTCTCCTTTTCTGTCTCCAAAGTATGCTTTTTCTGTCTCCAAAGTATGCTTTTCTTTTCACTATACTGGTATTTGTTTCAAAGTGTAAACAGGGACCATACCAAAAAGCAAAGACTAAATCTGCTAAAACTAAAGAACTTTACATGAGAATCAAATAACCTGACAAGGTCTGTGTTAACTCTGTGACCTTGGGTGAATAACTTAACCCTGATGTTCCATTTTTCTCATACACAAAAATGGATGACTAAAATCTGTTGGTGTTTTGTGATGTTAAAATATATGTAAAAATAGAGTAAATGGTTAAATGTTACATACATATCATGTGGCACCATGACCACAACCTTCAGCATCATCACTGGGTGGACAAACAAAAGCATAAAAAGGAAAGAATTACAATTATCATCCCTATGATTTCCATCCCCAAACTTATTATCCTAACATTTATATTTTGATTTTCTGATTGCTATTATCATTTTCATCTCAGAGTCCTAGTGATATGGACCGTTGCTTATAACACTTCTTTATCATTTGCTCCCTGTAGCTATATTAGTAAAATTCTGTTAGGTGAAAAATTCAGAATACATGCTGTGAAGCACTTATTCAATAAACATTCAGTGAAATGGTTACACTGTACACCAGGCACATAGCTATCTTGCAAAGCAGGCTAATAGACAATGGGTTTCCTGTTGGCCAGGTCCCAAAACTATTGGCTTTAATAGGCAAGTAGTTAATAAACATAGGAGATTTCATAATATTCCAGAGTCCTTCTCACTGCAATATGTAAATAGAGTAATGCTCCTTAGAATTAGCTCTTTAACTTCCATTCATTTTCTGTGAGTGTATTGGTCCACGGCAATGTGCAAGTCAGAGCAGAAAGCCATAGCAGGAAAACCAAGTTACATAATCTAAAAGAGAATACAATAGAGCCAGGCTTTCTGCCTTCATTTATGTAAATGTGACTTGTCTCCATATGGTTACTTAATTAGATACGGGATGCATTTCGCCCATTTAATGCAGAACAGCAGCCGGAATTTTACATACCAAATATTTAATGCAATTTATGAAACACAGACTCTTTCCCCAGGCCCCAGTAAAAGTTTCTTGTTTATTTTTAACTTGAAAACTATTCTTTCTTCCTAACCTGTAATAAAAATGGAAGCGTTTTATATCATTGCGTTTGCATCATTCACCTCACCTGTGCCAATCTTATATATGACTAAGATATTACTTTATCGAGCAGATCTTAAATCCTGCAGAATGAAAGATGGGAAAGAGTGCTTAAGACACATTCAAAGAAATCAAAGAGCCATTCTTAGTTCCTTAAAGAACTTCAGATTTCAGTAGACTCTACAAAAGCACGTTCATTATTCTCCAATTTATCAGTTTAATACATTCAATGTATTTTTTTTTAAATAGACGCATGTGCATGCCTACTAAGATTAGACAATGTTCTAGGTACTAGGGATTCAAAGATGACTAAGACATATTTACTTTCTGCCAGGAGCTCACAGACTAAAAATAGAGATAAATAATAACAAATCTATGACAAGCATGCTTAAATTGGAAGTATATGCAAAGTGTCATTGGGTACAGAGGAGAGAGCCTAACTGTCCCTGGGAGGGTTTATGGCAGGCATCACAGGGAAGATTACCCCTCATCACAGTCTGGATAAATGTGCTGACCAACTGGGCAAGTTGGAGAAGGTAGCCCAACAGCGGGCATGCCATGTGCAGAGATTAAAAGGTAAGAGAGAAATCTTAGGAAATGTGGGATGGCTGAAATATTACATGCCATGGGTACATGGAAAGGAATTTGAAAAGTTAGGTAGAGCTAAATATCATCTTCATTAGAATGCACATTTTAAAGAGTTTGAGATTTTATTAAACCATTGGTCTTATGTGGGTCTGTTAAATTAAGTTTAGACTAAAGCTGCCTCCTGACATATTTTAAATTGTGCCTAAAGCCGATGGTTCACATCGTGTTCAATAAGATAAACATTGAGCTGTAACTGATCTGGCTGTTTCTGAACTTCACTTCCGTTTTCTAAACGTCACTTTCCTTTTCTGTCCATAAATCGTCTTTGACCACGTGGCAGCCTGGAGTCTCTCTAAACCTATTTTGGTTCAAGGACTGCTTGATTCGTGAACAGTTCTTTGCTCAATTCAACTCGGTTAAATTTAATTTTTTTAAAGTTTGTCCCTTAGCAATTCTAACACCTCTCCTTTCTGTGTGCCTTGAACTAGGAACTTTCAGAGATGCAGACACAGAGTAACCACTAGATTATAGAAAGAAAGCTGTCTTGGTTTACAGCATGGGCCCTAAGACCAGTTCAGCTGTGCATTCTTTGAATGCAAGAGAACCCATGCTGGTCCTAATACACAGGACAGTTATTCTTTCAGCCACACTAACACAGGTGACTTATTTCCCAAGAGGGCCACAAAGAAAAGTTTTGTTTTTCTTTGATTGTTAACTTGTAACCATCATTTTAGCTTTCACTTAAGTTGTCTCCAAAACTGGCCTCTCAAATTGGATCTAAGCCAGAGATTCTACACCAGTTATGATGGCAGATACAGCTTTGTCCCCTAATGGAAACATACAGTGATTTAACCTGAGACACCTGTTCCCATAACAGTTTATTCAAAGAGACTTTGAAGTAAGATGTCAAATTTAGTCCAGGTATTTTTCTCTGGGTCACACAATGTTAGTAATTTAAGTTTGTATTAAGTTTTTTGCTTTTTCTCTATTTTTAGGTTTCTAGAATAAACACATAACCAGGAAACACACACACACACACACACACACACACACACACACACCCCTCTGCTTTGTGAAAGAATATAAAGGGCTTCATAAACTATGGCAATTTTAGCTTTCACTTCATGGTCTCTAACTTTATTGTATTAAAATCCACGTATCAGGGAAAAACAAAATATAAATGTATTTAGGAAAAAAATGAAAAAGAATAAGATTATAAGATTTATAACAATTATTCATTTTAAGATGTAAAAAAGAATATCTTGCTGAGAATATGGAGATGGAGTTTATAAATTGTTTAATTCCTCCCCCAACAATGGATACATTTGTGTATGAATATGTCCCACTGACTAATTTTCAAATTCATCTGAAAACCTAGTGGGATTTGGGAAAGGTTTTGCTTTCAAAGTGTTATCGCTTTTCATTTGTAACTGACAGTTTTCAAGAGTGAGGCCATTCATAGTTATGGAAAAATGGTTGTTTTAATGCAACATTGAATGACAGAAAACCAAACAATCAAACACCATTCTCATATTTTTCACTCTTGGAAAATTACCTTTCAGGAAGAGCTTTATGTTTTATGTTCTGCACACTAATACAGCAAGTATTTTCAATCTTTTTATGACAAAAAGACGAAACAAAAGAGGGAAAACGAAACTGTAAGGAACAAACAACATTAAATTCTCTTTGAAAGAAATACACTCCTGTTAGATGTCAGGTCACATAAAATCCTAGCCTGTGGCCACTTAGCTGCATATCTCAAAATGTAAATATAGGCTGATTTGACTGGAACATGATTCGACGGAATTTTTTGTATGTGATGTGGACACAGGCAAAATAGGGCAGAAGATCACCTTAGAGAAAATCCGAACCGACTCTCCTATCTTAGAAGTCATCCAGGCTCTCAGAGGCTAAACAACTTGTCAACGAGTTCTAAGTCACAGGCACAGGATAAAAACCTCTTTGCACTGACATCCAGAACAGCATTTTTTCATCACGCCCATTTTGTTTTGGTGGAACATGAAATATTAAATTGACAACTAACTTTTGTGTTATTATCTATTGAGAAATTTTACCCTCTAAAATCTTGGAAAGTATCTTTTATAGTGATCTTGTAACTTGTAAACATTCTATAGTTCAATATAGTAAAAGGGAAAATATAGTTAACATTTTATGATATATTTTATATGGAAAATTATGGTTTATACTAAATTATAGAAAAATACAAACACATGTTAAAAATATTCCTACCCATTGTCACCAAATTCCCAAAGACCAATACTATTAATAATTTGATATGATTCATTCTAGTATCTGTTTCTGATGTATACTTAATATTTTGGTTTTGTATACATAGAACACACATATATTTGTAATATATTATCTCATTTTTTCATGGTATTACCTCCTCATAAAACTAATTCTAATGATTGCAGGTGTGTCAGTGTTGATCTATTTCTTTACTATTGAACATTTAGTTATATCAAAATTTTCACTTTATATTGATACTATAATTCTGCACATATCTATATTACACCAAAATTTATATCTTTAGTACAGTTGTCCCTCTGAAGCTTCAATTCTACACATAAAATTGCCTCTAAATATAGTTACTTAAATGTCCTAAAGACCCCTCAAACTTTTATGCTTCAAACAGACTTATTGCTTGGCCCCAAGACTGTTTTTTGGCCTACATCCCATAAAGCTTGTAATAGCTCTAGTATTCACCAGGTTCCCTAAGTTAGAACTTGGGTATCACCTACTTTTCTCCCATTCAGCCCCTATATCGAATTCATCACTAAACCCCATTGATTCCCTCTCCTAAATATCCTTCAAATTCAGCAATTGCTCTTCATCTCCATTCTTCCTATGCTTGTCTGAATCACCACCATCATTCCCCTACATGACTACAATGGATCCTTTTTCTCTTCTGCCTACCCTCCTTTAATCCCTCCTACACACTGCAAAGCAGAATGCTCTTTCCAAAATTCAAATTCAAACATGTCATTCTGTCTTTAAATTCTTAATCCTTTGGATAAAATTCCTCCGTCTTTTGAATAAAATTCATATATATATATATATATATATATATATATATATATATATATATAATTATTTTTTTTTAAATCACGACTGACCAGGCCTTTCATGACGTGGGCCCTGTATTTACCACTAGCTTCAGTGCCTAATCACTTCACCACCTAGAAGCTATAGGGACTGCCACTCAATTCTTTTAGGAATCTAAACTCTCTTCACCTGGAGATCACACGCATGCTTTTCCTTCTGCCCCATGATACGAATGTCCCCCCTCTTTTGCTTATAGCCGATTCTCCTCCTTTAGATTCAGCTTAGCTGACACATCTTATGTAAGCCTACCAGAGTCCCCCAAATCCTAGGTTGGTTACATTCCTCTTCTTTGTTCTTCCATAATACTTTGTACAACTAAGCAACCATTCATGTATACCAATGCCCAACTATTCATGTATGTAACTATTCATGGATATCATGTATATCTAGACTATAGGTTCCATGAAAGCAAAGGATGTGAGACCCTTCATTATTTATATTACCAATGGTTAAATAGCTCTGAGACTCTACATGTGTTTGTTGAATAAATTTTTTAAAAAATAAAAATAAAAATAAATGAAGCTGTGAAAAAATCCTGTGACCATCCTCTTTGCAATAAAATGTACTGAGTGCAAATGATGCATTAGCAGATATCTTTTTAAATTTTTAATATTTTAATTTGTATTTATTTAATTATATGTATAAATAAAATATTTACTTATTTATTATTTTATTTTTATTTATTTACTTATTTTATTTATTTATTTTGAGACAAGATCTTTTCCAGGCTGGAGTGCAGTAGTGCCATCATAGTTTACTGCAGCCTCCAATTCCAGGGTCAAGTGGTCCTCCTATCCCAGCCTCCTTAGTACCTGGTACTACAGATGTGTGACACCATGCCCAGATAATTATTTTCACTTTTTATGGAGACATGTTTTCTCTCTGTTGCCCAGGATGGTCTTGAACTCCTGGTGCCAAATGATCCTCTCACCTTGGCCTCCCAAAATGTTAGAATTATAGGCATGAGCCACCGTATCCTGCCCTAAATTTATTTTCAAAAGGAGTATGCAAATTGACTCAGGCAGCAGCATTATAGAAGCTTAGCAATTTTCCTCATCCTCACCAGCTTTGAACATAATCTCTGAGATATTTGTTAGTTATTGGATAAAAATAATATTAATTGCTTAGTATACACTTGCTGATTACTAGCAAAATTAAATATTAAATCATATTTTTCTACTATTTTTGTTTACCTTCTGAATTGTTTATTCATATTTTTATCATTTAAGTTTTATGTTTTACACAGTTTTAAGGAGAATGTGGCTCTATAATATCTAAAAAGAAAACATAATTTGAATGTATATATTTCATTGTCTTATCATCAAGGTCTTAAATGATACCAATAACACCTTTTTTGTTGTTGTTGTTTGTTTTGTTTTGTTTAGAGATAGAGTCTCGCTCTGTCACCCAGACTGGAGTGCAGTGGCACGATCTCAGCTCATTGCAACCTTCGCCTCCCCTGTTCAAGTGATTCTCCTGCCTCAGCCTCCCGAGTAGCTGGGACTACAGGTGCGTGCCACTACACCCGGCTAAATTTTGTATTTTTATTAGAGACGGGGTTTCACCATATTGGCCAGGCTGGTCTCAAACTCCTGACTGCATGATCAGCCCACCTCAGCCTCCCAAAGTGCTGGGATTACAGGCAGGAGCCACCGTGCCCAGCCACACCTTGCTTTTTATGTTATTTCTTCCAATTCATTAATTCATTCGTGACCATATTTTTAAAAGAATTTTGGATTACAGCAATCAAGAGATGAGTTTCACTATCCCAAATGCAAAAGAATTTTGACCAGAAAGGGTATCTGTTGACAAAAGCAGGTCTTGTGCAGGGAAGAACATACATCTTTAAAAAATAAAAATAGAAATTAATGCTTTATGTGGAGGATTCATAAAGAAAAGGAAAAGACATGGGATTTGTTTTCAGTTTCTTAATGAGATGACCTTCTTTTTACAACAAAGTCCTTCTTCTGGAAATCGCCTAAGACATTGATATGAGGATGAAGTTTTGATGCTTATATGAAATCCTTTAATTCCTTTGTTATTTTTCCTAATACACAGATTGAGTTGAGCCTGCTCGGATGTGGTATTTAGTCAAGATTGACAATACACCACATGGTAATAGTGTCCAGCAAAGAAGCTGCGCCCTGATTTGATTTGACAGTTATCCTGATTGGGATGTGAAACTTGTACAACAGAGGGGGCTTAATTTCCTTATCCTCTTGGAGAAGATGCTAGACACAGTCAGAAACAGATTTATACCAAGTTGTATTTGAAGCACAAAATATTGTTCCTCCTGATATTTTTTATCAAGAGGCAATCTGCTACAGGGAAAGAAATGTGGGCTTTGGAGTTAAGACAGAGCTAGATTCAAATTCAGGCTTTCTTACTATTTAGCTGTGTGATCTTAGGCAAGATATTTAACCTACCTTAGCTTCTATATTCTTCCAGGTAGAAAGAGAATATCGAACCACAAGGTTGTTGTGTGCATTCAATAGCTACATGCAAATAAAGTTGGATATTGTAGGCATATAATAGGCAGTCAGTCTATAATAGGATATTGTTAGCATATTATTATTAATTAAGGAAAAATTAAGGGATGGATGGAGAAGGAGGAAGCAGAGAAAGAGTTGCATCCTGTAGATTATTATTACTTTTTGTCTGTGAGGGAGAAACTGCTAGAGCAAGAGCCCAGTCTACACAATGGCACTCTAGGAAATGCCTGAATATTTTACGTATTTTTTTTCCTTCCAAAGCAATATCTAACATTACAACCCAGTAACCAGTTCTAGAGACCTGGATGCTCTTGAAAGGTTAAGGCTACCTGCCTTTGCCGTAGTGTGTTTGGTAAAGAGCTTTATGTACATCACTGGAAGATCTGCTGTTGTACCTCAAGATTTTGGCATTTGACTTACGGAGCTTAAAAAAAAAATTAAAAAAAAAAACAGCAACAACAACAACAACAAAAAGCCTATTACATATCTGAGCTGTTTAGTACTACCTAATCAGCTTAATTGTACTGAGGTGAAGCCTGGTATGCATACTGTCAGCAAGAAGAACGACGGGGAGAAGAGCACTGTAATAGAGTAAGTTTAATTGCATTATGTGATTTAATTATTTAGTTATCTCAGCACCCTTCCTCCATGTACAAATGAATAGGAATCAGACAATCACGTGCATATTGCTAGGCCATTATAGTTTGCTATTTATCATCAATAGGTTGATAGCTTCCAGGTATCCATGGCTTATAGCAAGCACTTAATTTTGTTGGCACCCAGGGTCTGGGTCAGGAGATGGGTAATGACCTGTATTACTACTGTACAGGTTTTGAAATTAAAAGAAACAACCAATATTACTTGGTACTTTGGGGGAAGATATTAAACCATCAATCAAATGGGTCAGTGTGCCCTAAGAGGAATGAGACATTCCCTAACAGAGGTAACATCTAGAGCAAATATGTGGGAGTTCAGAGAGTTTCAAAACTTTCATGTTAGGTAAGTAGGCACAGAAAGGGAAAGAAAAAAATGGATGTTGATATCATTACACTATATATATGTATATATTTTCTCGTAACTCTCAATCTTTTTTTGTAGCCCAAATATATATTAAAACAAGTTTGACTACAGGGCTTTCCTGATCAAATGTAGTATCTTTGAGCATTTCAAATATTAAATTAGAGAAAAGACACTGTATATCCCAGGAAGGACCTATTCTGTGGTACCTTTACTTAAAAATGGCCCTGAATACTTTTTGGATACCATTTTATATAAATGAGTAAACAGAGCTATTTTGAATTGATCTTGAAGTAAATGTAGAACCATCAACCCAAAGTTTCTCAAGCAGAAGACCAGAGTAAACGTAACTTATTTTGAATTGATCTTTAAGTACATCTAGAACCATCAACACAAGGTTTCTCAAACAGGAGACCAGTGACAGTGTTTATAGTGGATGTCACATTAGTGTTAGAATTTAACATCATAACTGCAAATTAGAAATAAGCACACTTAGTACCCACATATGAAGACAATATCATGTCATTAAAAAACATTAAAATCTGTGTTTAGACAGTGTTTAAAGTTGACAGTAGGATGGAAACAATGGCACAACAGTGTCAGAGAAAGCTGACAAACAGCATTACGAGTTGCTCATCAAAAAAACTCTAGATATATGCTACATTACCATTTCCTCCCTATAATATTATACAATTCCAGCGATAAAAAACTACAAAAGAAAACTGAGACCTACAAATGACTTTTTTCCATTGACAAATGATGATATATGATATCAACTATAAAAACAACCAGTTGTGGCGGGAGGAGCCAAGATGGCCGAATAGGAACAGCTCCGGTCTACAGTTCCCAGCGTGAGCGACGCAGAAGACGGGTGATTTCTACATTTCCATCTGAGGTACCGGGTTTATCTCACTAGGGAGTGCCAGACAGTGGGTGCAGGCCAGTGGGTGCGCGCACCGTGCGCAAGCCGAAGCATGGCGAGGCATTGCCTCACTTGGGAAGCGCAAGGGGTCAGGGAGTCCCCTTTGCGAGTCAAAGAAAGGGGTGATGGACGCACTTGGAAAATCGGGTTACTCCCACCCGAATATTGTGCTTTTCAGACCGGCTAAAAAAACGGCGAACCACGAGATTATATCCCACACCTGGCTCGGAGGGTCCTACGCCCACGGAATCTCGCTGATTGCTAGCACAGCAGTCTGAGATCAAACTGCAAGGTGGCAGCGAGGCTGGGGGAGGGGCGCCCGCCATTGTCCAGGCTTGCTTAGGTAAACAAAGCAGCCAGGAAGCTCGAATTGGGTGGAGCCCACCACAGCTCAAGGAGGCCTGCCTGCCTCTGTAGGCTCCACCTCTGGGGGCAGGGCACAGACAAACAAAAAGACAGCAGTAACCTCTGCAGACTTAAGTGTCCTTGTATGACAGCTTTGAAGAGAGCAGTGGTTCTCCCAGCACGCAGCTGGAGATCTGAGAACTGGCAGACTGCCTCCTCAAGTGGGTCCCTGACCCCTGACCCCCGAGCAGCCTAACTGGGAGGCACCCCCCAGCAGGGGCACACTGACCCCTCACACGGCAGGGTATTCCAACAGACCTGCAGCTGAGGGTCCTGTCTGTTAGAAGGAAAACTAACAAACAGAAAGGACATCCATACCGAAAACCCATTTGTACATTACCAGCATCAAAGACCAAAAGTAGATAAAACCACAAAGATGGGGAAAAAACAGAACAGAAAAACTGGAAACTCTAAAATGCAGAGCGCCTCTCCTCCTCCAAAGGAACGCAGTTCCTCACCAGCAACGGAACAAAGCTGGATGGAGAATGACTTTGACGAACTGAGAGAAGAAGGCTTCAGACGATCAAATTACTCTGAGCTACGGGAGGACATTCAAACCAAAGGCAAAGAAGTTGAAAACTTTGAAAAAAATTTAGAAGAATGTATAACTAGAATAACCAATACAGAGAAGTGCTTAAAGGAGCTGATGGAGCTGAAAACCAAGGCTCGAGAACTATGTGAAGAATGCAGAAGCCTCAGGAGCCGATGCGATCAACTGGAAGAAAGGGTATCAGCAATGGAAGATGAAATGAATGAAATGAAGCGAGAAGGGAAGTTTAGAGAAAAAAGAATAAAAAGAAATGAGCAAAGCCTCCAAGAAATATGGGACTATGTGAAAAGACCAAATCTATGTCTGATTGGTGTACCTGAAAGTGATGGGGAGAATGGAACCAAGTTGGAAAACACTCTGCAGGATATTATCCAGGAGAACTTCCCCAATCTAGCAAGGCAGGCCAACGTTCAGATTCAGGAAATACAGAGAACGCCACAAAGATACTCCTCGAGAAGAGCAACTCCAAGACACATAATTGTCAGATTCACCAAAGTTGAAATGAAGGAAAAAATGTTAAGGGCAGCCAGAGAGAAAGGTCAGGTTACCCTCAAAGGGAAGCCCATCAGACTAACAGCGGATCTCTCGGCAGAAACCCTACAAGCCAGAAGAGAGTGGGGGCCAATATTCAACATTCTTAAAGAAAAGAATTTTCAGCCCAGAATTTCATATCCAGCCAAACTAAGCTTCATAAGTGAAGGAGAAATAAAATACTTCACAGACAAGCAAATGCTGAGAGATTTTGTCACCACCAGGCCTGCCCTAAAAGACCTCCTGAAGGAAGCGCTAAACATGGAAAGGAACAACCGGTACCAGCCGCTGCAAAATCATGCCAAAATGTAAAGACCATCGAGACTAGGAAGAAACTGCATCAACTAACGAGCAAAATAACCAGCTAACATCATAATGACAAGATCAAATTCACACATAACAATATTAACTTTAAATGTAAATGGACTAAATGCTCCAATTAAAAGACACAGACTGGCAAATTGGATAAAGAGTCAAGACCCATCAGTGTGCTGTATTCAGGAAACCCATCTCACGTGCAGAGACACATATAGGCTCAAAATAAAAGGATGGAGGAAGATCTACCAAGCAAATGGAAAACAAAAAAAGGCAGGGGTTGCAATCCTAGTCTCTGATAAAACAGACTTTAAACCAACAAAGATCAAAAGAGACAAAGAAGGCCATTACATAATGGTAAAGGGATCAATTCAACAAGAAGAGCTAACTATCCTAAATATATATGCACCCAATACAGGAGCACCCAGATTCATAAAGCAAGTCCTGAGTGACCTACAAAGAGACTTAGACTCCCACACATTAATAATGGGAGACTTTAACACCCCACTGTCAACATTAGACAGATCAACGAGACAGAAAGTCAACAAGGATACCCAGGAATTGAACTCAGCTCTGCACCAAGTGGACCTAATAGACATCTACAGAACTCTCCACCCCAAATCAACAGAATATACATTTTTTTCAGCACCACACCACACCTATTCCAAAATTGACCACATAGTTGGAAGTAAAGCTCTCCTCAGCAAATGTAAAAGAACAGAAATTATAACAAACTATCTCTCAGACCACAGTGCAATCAAACTAGAACTCAGGATTAAGAATCTCACTCAAAGCCGCTCAACTACATGGAAACTGAACAACCTGCTCCTGAATGACTACTGGGTACATAACGAAATGAAGGCAGAAATAAAGATGTTCTTTGAAACCAACGAGAACAAAGACACAACATACCAGAATCTCTGGGAAGCATTCAAAGCAGTGTGTAGAGGGAAATTTATAGCACTAAATGCCCACAAGAGAAAGCAGGAAAGATCCAAAATTGACACCCTAACATCACAATTAAAAGAACTAGAAAAGCAAGAGCAAACACATTCAAAAGCTAGCAGAAGGCAAGAAATAACTAAAATCAGAGCAGAACTGAAGGAAATAGAGACACAAAAAACCTTCAAAAAATCAATGAATCCAGGAGCTGGTTTTTTGAAAGGATCAACAAAATTGATAGACCACTAGCAAGACTAATAAAGAAAAAAAGAGAGAAGAATCAAATAGACACAATAAAAAATGATAAAGGGGATATCACCACCAATCCCACAGAAATACAAACTACCATCAGAGAATATTACAAACACCTCTATGCAAATAAACTAGAAAATCTAGAAGAAATGGATAAATTCCTTGACACATACACTCTCCCAAGACTAAACCAGGAAGAAGTTGAATCTCTGAATAGACCAATAACAGGAGCTGAAATTGTGGCAATAATCAATAGTTTACCAACCAAAAAGAGTCCAGGACCAGATGGATTCACAGCCGAATTCTACCAGAGGTACAAGGAGGAACTGGTACCATTCCTTCTGAAACTATTCCAATCAATAGAAAAAGAGGGAATCCTCCCTAACTCATTTTATGAGGCCAGCATCATTCTGATACCAAAGCCGGGCAGAGACACAACCAAAAAAGAGAATTTTAGACCAATATCCTTGATGAACATTGATGCAAAAATCCTCAATAAAATACTGGCAAAACGAATCCAGCAGCACATCAAAAAGCTTATCCACCATGATCAAGTGGGCTTCATCCCTGGGATGCAAGGCTGGTTCAATATACGCAAATCAATAAATGTAATCCAGCATATAAACAGAGCCAAAGACAAAAACCACATGATTATCTCAATAGATGCAGAAAAAGCCTTTGACAAAATTCAACAACCCTTCATGCTAAAAACTCTCAATAAATTAGGTATTGATGGGACATATTTCAAAATAATAAGAGCTATCTATGACAAACCCACAGCCAATATCATATTGAATGGACAAAAACTGGAAGCATTCCCTTTGAAAACTAGCACAAGACAGGGATGCCCTCTCTCACCACTCCTATTCAACATAGTGTTGGAAGTTCTGGCCAGGGCAATCAGGCAGGAGAAGGAAATAAAGGGTATTCAATTAGGAAAAGAGGAAGTCAAATTGTCCCTGTTTGCAGATGACATGATTGTATATATAGAAAACCCCATTGTCTCAGCCCAAAATCTCCTTAAGCTGATAAGCAACTTCAGCAAAGTCTCAGGATACAAAATCAATGTACAAAAATCACAAGCATTCTTATACACCAACAACAGACAAACAGCCAAATCATGAGTGAACTCCCATTCACAATTGCTTCAAAGAGAATAAAATACCTAGGAATCCAACTTACAAGGGATGTGAAGGACCTCTTCAAGGAGAACTACAAACCACTGCTCAAGGAAATAAAAGAGGATACAAACAAATGGAAGAACATTCCATGCTCATGGGTAGGAAGAATCAATATCATGAAAATGGCCATACTGCCCAAGGTAATTTACAGATTCAATGCCATCCCCATCAAGCTACCAATGACTTTCTTCACAGAATTGGAAAAAACTACTTTAAAGTTCATATGGAACCAAAAAAGAGCCCGCATCGCCAAGTCAATCCTAAGCCAAAAGAACAAAGCTGGAGGCATCACACTACCTGACTTCAAACTATACTACAAGTCTACAGTAACCAAAACAGCATAGTACTGGTACCAAAACAGAGATATAGATCAATGGAACAGAACAGAGCCCTCAGAAATAACGCCGCATATCTACAACTATCTGATCTTTGACAAACCTGAGAAAAACAAGCAATGGGGAAAGGATTCCCTATTTAATAAATGGTGCTGGGAAAACTGGCTAGCCATATGTAGAAAGCTGAAACTGGATCCCTTCCTTACACCTTACACAAAAATCAATTCAAGATGGATTAAAGACTTAAACGTTAGACCTAAAACCATAAAAACCCTAGAAGAAAACCTAGGCATTACCATTCAGGACGTAGGCATGGGCAAGGACTTCATGTCCAAAACACCAAAAGCAATGGCAACAAAAGCCAAAATTGACAAATGGGATCTAATTAAACTAAAGAGCTTCTGCACAGCAAAAGAAACTACCATCAGAGTGAACAGGCAACCTACAAAATGGGAGAAAATTTTCGCAACCTACTCATCTGACAAAGGGCTAATATCCAGAATCTACAATGAACTCAAACAAATTTACAAGAAAAAAACAAACAACCCCATCAAAAAGTGGGCGAAGGACATGAACAGACACTTCTCAAAAGAAGACATTTATGCAGCCAAAAAAACACATGAAAAAATGCTCATCATCACTGGCCATCAGAGAAATGCAAATCAAAACCACAATGAGATACCATCTCACACCAGTTAGAATGGCAATCATTAAAAAGTCAGGAAACAACAGGTGCTGGAGAGGATGTGGAGAAATAAGAACACTTTTACACTGTTGGTGGGACTGTAAACTAGTTCAACCATTGTGGAAGTCAGTGTGGCGATTCCTCAGGGATCTAGAACTAGAAATACCATTTGACCCAGCCATCCCATTACTGGGTATATACCCAAATGACTATAAATCATGCTGCTATAAAGACACATGCACACGTATGTTTATTGCGGCATTATTCACAATAGCAAAGACTTGGAACCAACCCAAATGTCCAACAATGATAGACTGGATTAAGAAAATGTGGCACATATACACCACAGAGTACTATGCAGCCATAAAAAATGATGAGTTTGTGTCCTTTGTAGGGACATGGATGAAATTGGAAATCATCATTCTCAGTAAACTATCGCAAGAACAAAAAACCAAACACTGCATATTCTCACTCATAGGTGAGAATTGAACAATGAGATCACATGGACACAGGAAGGGGAATATCACACTCTGGGGACTGTGGTGGGGTGGGGGGAGCGGGGAGGGATAGCATTGGGAGATATACCTAATGCTAGATGACGAGTTAGTGGGTGCAGCACACCAGCATGGCACATGTATACATATGTAACTAACCTGCACAATGTGCACATGTACCCTAAAACTTAAAGTATAAAAAAAAAAAAAAAAAAAAAACCAGCTGTTTCTAGAATTCATGATAAACTTAACTGGGCATTGTTAATGATTAAATATTGTATCCTTCCCCTTCCCACTGCCAAATTAAAATGTTGAAATTCTGATGCTCAATTCGCTGCTGTTAGGAGGTGGGGCCCTTATAAATTAATTAGGTTATGAGAGTAGTGACCATATGAACAGGACTAGTACCCTTAGAAGAAACAGGAGAGGCCAAGAGTGGTGGCTCACGCCTGTAATCCCAGTACATTGAGGGCAGATCACCTGAGGTCAGGAGTTTGAGACCAGTCTGGCCAATATGGTGAAATCCCATCTCTACTAAAAATATAAAAATTAGTTGGTTGTGGTAGTATATGCCTGTAGTCCTAGATACTGAGAAGGCTGAGACAGGAGAATCGCTTGAACCCAGGAAGCAGAGGTTGCAGTGAGTCGAGATCATGCCACTGCACTCCAGCCTGGGTGACAGAGTGAGAGTCAAAAAGAAAAAAAAAGAAAACAGGAGAAACAGGAGAGCTTCTTTTCATTCTGCTCTCCCTAATGTGAGAGCACAAAGAAGAAACAGCCATCTGCTAACAAGGAAGCTGGCTCTCACCAGACACAGAATCTTCCAGTACTTTTGTCATGGACTTCTTAGCCCTAAGAACTTTGAGCAATAAGTTTCTCTTGTTTAAGCCACTCGGTCTACAGAATTTTTGTTATAGTGGTCTGAACTGACTGCGACAGATGCCCATCTTTCAGGAAGGAGCTCTGGAATACAATGATTATTATCACATAAAAATAATTCAAATAAAAACAATCCCTACTGGATCACCTGCTGTATACAGCACTGGCCAGACAAGGAAATCAATCTGGAAGTACTTGAAGGTAAAAGGATTAGGGAAAATCATAAAAGTCTCAGTTTGGAACAAGGAGAAAAAAAAAAAATAACCAAAAAGCCTGCCTACAGTTTTTACCATTTGATGTATCAGAGTACAAGCGATACGTGTCATTTTTTAAAAAATCTTTTCTCTAAGTGACATTCCATTACATAGAGAACCCCCTTATAAAATGTGATGAGAGCAGAAGCAAAGGCACAGAAAGTTTTGACCCATGATGGATACAAACAGTCATTTACACATTCATTATAGACAGGGTCAAGGAGGAAGACCGTGTGCCTGCAGAAGATGGAGTCACAGAGGGTACCCAAAGATCAGATATATCAAAGGATGACACTTACTGAAACACACTGGGTATTTCTAGGCCATTTTTTTTTTAATGAGGGGAGGCATTTGAATACTCGGAGGAAACTAGCATATATGAGATAAGCATGTATCCCTCCTGGTTAATTGATCTCATTTCTTAGATGGCAGAAAATAGATTTTCTCAAGATGCGGAAAACAATGAACTCTTTATCTCTCAATATTTAAAGTGCTTGGAAATAATTTTGAAGAGATTAAAATGTTAGCATTGCAGAAACAAAAAAACAAAAAGAAAAAAAAGAAACAATTCACAGGTCTTCCATTTTACCCTGTGAATGTAGTCCCTACCTCTAACCCACACAAATCCCAGATAAAACGATTATGACAACTACAACAACTCAGGTGGAAGAGGCCACTGATCTAGGAATCTGCCTGGCTTTCAAGGTACTAAATGCTTTTGAGGCAGTGACTGTGTGGAGAACAGGCGAGATGGATGAGGTGAGTTCCCACTATTATTATAGCTGCAGTGTCCAAGGACTCAGGGAGCCGCTTTCTGGAGAGTGTGCTGCTCTCCCCAGGACTGCAGGGAACAATGCAAGCCTTCAAGATAAATGTGGACCCTGGGTTTGGTGGAATGTCTGGGCCTGTCGCAAATGCAGATTACTAGTTTTCTATGAGAAAGTAGAAAACACCAGATTTCAGTGAGATTAATTATACATCAAAGCAATGTTCTCAATTGGTAACCATAGACTTAAACGTAAAACTACTAGAACAGAATCATGTTTTTTCCCTTTGTATCACAGAGAATGATTTCACTGCTGGGCCAGTGTCACACTGCAGTGAATCGCAGAAGAATGTAATGCTTAGTGAGACAAATATGAAGATAATTACACCAGTTATATTTGGGACACACACAAAATAAGGGACCATATTTGTAGACTCTTTATGAACACTCCAGTGCAGGGAGAGAAAAGAAAATTTTCTTTTTTAATAGCTAAACTGGATTTTACTATGACTAAATGCCTTTGAAGTAACACATTGCTTTTCTGTATAATTAAAACAAAAAAGTTAGTTAAAAGAGCACATTACGGCACTCCCAAGATGGCGGCTCCTCCGGGCGAGTACTTCAGCGTTGGGAGCCAGGTGTCGTGCCGGACGTGCCAGGAGCAGCGGCTGCAGGGCGAGGTGGTAGCCTTTGACTACCAATCCAAAATGCTGGCTTTAAAATGTCCCTCTTCCAGTGGAAAGCCCAACCATGCAGACATCTTGCTCATAAACTTACAGTATGTTTCAGAAGTGGAAATAATTAATGACCGAACAGAAACCCCTCCTCCCCTAGCTTCACTCAATGTTAGTAAGCTTGCCAGCAAAGCACGGACAGAGAAGGAGGAGAAGCTGAGCCAGGCCTATGCAATCAGTGCTGGTGTCTCTCTAGAGGGCCAGCAGCTCTTCCAGACCATTCACAAGACCATTAAAGACTGTAAATGGCAAGAAAAAAACATCGTAGTCATGGAAGAAGTTGTTATTACACCCCCATATCAAGTGGAAAACTGTAAAGGCAAAGAGGGGAGTGCACTGAGCCATGTACGCAAAATAGTTGAAAAACATTTTAGAGACGTGGAAAGCCAAAAGATACTGCAACGTTCACAAGCCCAGCAACCACAGAAGGAGGCTGCCCTGTCATCCTGAGTCCGTACACATGGAGGACTCTTCCAGCATCCAGCCAAGGAGGCGCTGGTGGTGGCTTCAGCGGAGGCAGGCCGGGGGAGGGAAGGGATCCTATATGTCCTGTTGGCTCTTAACAAAGGGTCAGCATTTCCAAATCTTAGACTTGAACAAACAAAACACCCAACAAAAAAGAACAAGAGAATAATTTAAAAGTTGAATCATTACTTGACTAACAGACTTCGGTCCACCATGTCCTTTTCACAGCCCTCTTCTGGAACAGTCACCTTGTTAATTTTATTTTTGAAAATTATTTTCCCACTCTGCCCTTTACTTCTGACTTTCCTTTCCTAGTTTGTTCCTGCCATTCTGTTTTTATAAGTGGCTACACTTGCCTTCTGAATGATTGAAAGAAACTTTTACATCTTTTCTTCCAAAATAAAAGTAACAAGCTGACTGTGATTCTTAAGTTGAGACCAGAGCAGCAAACGTCTCACTTTAAATTTTTGTTTTCTTTTCCTTTTTTTTTCTTTTTTCTTTTTTCTTTTTTTTTTTTTTTGCACAGGGCATGGCTTGAATTAGTTTTATTTTTCTTAACTTTAAATATATATATGAAAATATATATTAAAATGTTCTCTAAATATTTTCTGCTTCTTGCAGGTCTCTTTTTACTAGATCATGGCTGTTCTTCCCACCTCATCCCTCTGAAAATAAAAATGTATTGCCCTCTCCACCATCCATCATAGCCAGGCCACTAACTTGACTTGGTGCAAGAGATTCTTGCTGCGAACTTTGTAGAGCCAGTGTGCAGATAGAATTTGGCTTTGAGGGTTCCTGATGGCTTTTTAGTCTTTAACTGTGTGTGTACCAGTCTCACATTTGGCCCAAACCTCAGGATTCTCCCTCTGCCTGTCTTACTTCATGGTACTAGAAGACCTTCCTCGCCACTCTCTCCACATGAGAGAGTCAGCTGCCCTTTCTCCTGTGCCTCTGCAGGAAGAACTCTCTTGCATGGCACATCTCAGCTCCTCATTGAGGGATAGTTTTCTTTGATAAGAAACCTGGAGTCCATTTACTCTGACCTCTCTTTAAATCTATATCCAGAGCCACTAGCCCAGGAAAAACTTGGGTGACCCGTAATTTCTCTTCTCCTGCTGTCCTTTTGCTCTTACGCCCCACCCCAACTCCCCTTAAATTTTACAGGCTTATGACAGTTTGTATGTGCTCAGCCAATGAGCAGAAAACCTGGAAAGAATTTCTGGACTTTAGCCCACCAGTTTGTCTGGTTGACTAACCTGCTGAGAGCTAAAATTGGCACCCATTGCCCCGTGCCTTCAGGCAGTCTCCTGGGGCAGAGTATGCCACCATCCGAATATCAGGCACTGAGTGGGATGTGGGTGATGCTCACATGACTGGCTAGAGCTTTGGGGGTGGGGTGGGGGTTAACTACTATTTTTTTGGCCATGATCTCTTTCCCCTTCCTTTTTTTTTTAATTAAATAAATGGATCAAATTAAATAATTCAAGCCCTGCCTTCAAAATGAAATTTTTTTTTTAGTATTATTTAGCAAAAACAATAAAACCCAAATTTTTTTAACCATCAAAAAAAAAAAAAAAAAAAAGAGCACATTACTAATTTCAGAGGATACAAATGGAATTTTAGGTTGCTCTGAAACTTCAACTAGATTTTATCCTCATGACCTTCAAGGGAATAATCAGGTCTGCCATTTCTTGAAAATTATCTACTTATACCAGGGTATCTTTGCATAGTTGCTTTTTAAAATTGTGAATTAATGTTGCAGATTAACTAATACAACAGGCCAGGCATGGTGGCTCATGCCTGTAATCCTAGCACTTTGGGAGGTCGAAGTGGGAAGAACGCTTATGTCCAGGAATTCGAGACCAGCCTGGGCAACATAGTAACACCCCAATCTCTACAAAAAATAAAAAGTTAGCTAGACGTGGTGGTGTGTGCCTGTAGTTCTAGCCACCTGAGAGGCTGAGTTAGGAGGATCACTTTGGTCCTGGATATTGAGGCTGCAGTGAGCCATGAGTGCACCACTGCACTCAGTCTAGGTGACAGAACAAGACCCAGTCTCAAAAAAAAAAAAAAAACTAATACAATGGCACCACTGTAATTATTTAAAAAAAAAATAGTTCCTAAATCACACAGTTGAAGAAAGAAATACATCTAGATCCATGCAATAGGCTTCATTATATTGTTAGATATCAAAGATAATCATTGATTGGCAAATACTGTTATCAGGCTATTCAAGCAAGTTTTCAGAGCAAGGTACAAATCATATTATGTTGTGGGTTGAGGAAAACAGTGCTTAAGAAAAAAACTTTAGATGAATATTAGGGATGTCTTTATTATGGAAAAAGCAGAAAGGAAGAGAGGGGTCCAAATCTACTTTTGGAATCATTACATATTAAGGCTTAGAAGAGATAGTAGAGATCATCCAGTTTCACATTTTATAAACAAGATGAGTATCTTCTTAGATACTTATAATTTGTCTAGGTTCACTGAAGTAGTTAATAGTACAATTGAGGTTAGTGTTCTAGAAACACAGCTCTTAAGAGTTCTTTCTACCATAAAGCATGGAGATTCCAGTGAAAAAATCTGACACTTAAACCCAAAGTTGCCTTAAATGATTTTTCTTCTAGATGAAACTTCCTCTCTTTGCAAAAACAGTTCACAGGGTAAAAATATCCCAAGGCATTTCAGCAATTGATTGAAATCACAAGCTCATTGTAATCATCTTCATAAACCCTTGGAGTTCTGTGAGGGCTCCTCTGATCAGAAAAAGGGCAAATGAAACATTTATCTTTGAGGGAATTTAGATTTGGCTTCACATGAGAGCTCATCAAAGACTAGGAGAATTGAGTTTAGATCAGATTACTGCTAAGTGGGTGCACAACTGATTAGAACAGTGATTCCCCAAATCAGATTTTAGACATCCAAGGATGACACCAGTTATCTAAAGCATTGTAACAGAATTTATCCCGAAAATACTCCCAGAGTAAAATAAAAAAATATAAATGTTAATTTTAGAATCACCAGATATTTTATGAAGATAGTAGGATGGGCAGTGGGTGTTGTGTGTCATGTTTGTTGATGGGGAGCATGGTGTTATGAAATCTAAGACTTTGGATGCACAAACAACCATGTGGTTTGGACTGTTCCTCCGGGGATGTTAAGTTCAGTATCTGAGGGAGGCACATAAAGCCTGATAGCTGATCATTGCTCTAATTTATGAAAACGTTCTGATTAAGGCTGGGCTATAGAGAATGTGTTCATTAAGGTGCTAATGCTGATGAGAACCAATTTAGCTAAGCGTGTAACAACCTTAGAGCAGCTACTTAAAATATCATGTAACCTTTTAACAATTTTGAAAAGTGGGTATCTAAAAATAGAAACACAAATAAAAGAGGTCACTAGGAACACTTCGGAAGGAAGAATAATCTTCTAACCCAGGGTCATATGATCTTTTAAGATTCAATTGAAATTCCCACCAAACAATCCATCACAGGGCTGGAAATTACAGCATTAGGATCAACTAACTGCTTGTAACCTCAACAGAGTGCTTAACAAGGCAGAAGCCTAGAGGCCTCAGCATTTTGAGGACTCCTGTTTTGTTTTTGTTTTTAATTTATGCACTTCTACATTAGTTAATCAATTATCTTTCTATGTTATTTGAGACACTGTTTCTCTGTCACACATCAACCACTCTTAAAACATGGTCCTTTTCATGATTTCCTAAAAATATAAACATCAAAATGTCCTGACTTACTTATTACACAAAGTCTTTGTTGAATAGCAGGATTAATTTAACATCCTTAGTACTGGGAGCCATTTAAGTGGTAGGAAAACATCATTTACATAGAGTATCAGATATTCATTTTCATAAAAGTAATATGCCCACTCGTCTTCTTCTTTGTTATTTTCTCTCACCTCTCATGCTCGTCTATTCCTCCTCTGCCTCCTCCCTTTCAAAAAAGTTTTTAAAAACTTTACATTTTTAGAAAAAAAATGCATCCCCTCTTTTTTTCTAATCCAAAACATTTCATATTTGTACAACCAAAGACTCATTAATGTACTAGGCTTAGAAAGCAATGAACAGTCTCTCCATGACATCACCCTTTGTCTATCCCTAGCAGTCTCTTGAGTGAAAAAGGAACAATATAAACATACACTGTTCCACTAATGTCAATTGCTCCATCTCCTTCAAAACAAAAGAGAAGGCTGTATGGAATTTCATTATGAAGTATTTTATACAAACAAAACTTTTAGTAATAAGCATTTATTAAAATTAGAAATGAATTGTAAATATTAGAAACAAAGCAGGACAATAAATCCATCACTCAGTCTAAGAAAATGGGACTTCCCCAGCACAGTGGTTCTATAATGAACCTCATGTGAAACTTAATGGTAATGACCACCACTTTGGGTTGGATTTTTTTTCTTTCTTTTTCAGATCTCTCCCTCCTTTATATGTTCATGGTTTTATCACATGGGTATACATACTACCCTAGACAACATACTGTTTAGCTGATTGGTTTTGAACTTTATAAAACCTGCAGCAGAATACATACATTCTTCTGATTGCATCTTATAAAAACATCTGATATATAACCCACATACCATATAATTCACCGATTTAAAATGTACAATTCAATGGTTCTAATATAGTCACAGAGCTGTACAACTACCACCACAATCTAAATTTAGAACATTTTCATCACCCCCAAAAGAAATCCTGAACCCATTAACAGTTGTTCCCCACTCTTCCTTATTCCAGCCCTTGGCAACCATCAATCTATTTTCTGTCTCTATGGATTTGCCTACCTTGGGTATTTCATATAAATGGAACCATAAAATGTGACCATTTGCGACTGGCCTCTTTCACTTAGCATAGTATTTTCAAGGTTTATCGATGTTGTAGCATATCTTGATGCTTCATTTCTTTATATTGACAAATAATATTTCGTGTCTGGCTATTCTACTCTTGGCTTTTTCATTCATCAGTGGATAGGCATTTGGGACATTTTATCTATTAGGGATAATTCTGCTATGTCTCTTCATGAACGAGATTTTACATGAACATGTGTTTCATTTCTCTTGGGTAGAGTATAACCTAGGTGTAAAATTGGGGGGGTCATATGGCAGCTCTATGGTTAACTTTGAAGAAGAGCCAAAGTCTCTTCCAAAGTGCCTGTACCATTCTACATTTCCACCAGCAATGTATGAGGGTTCCACTTTCTCCACATCCTTGCAAACACTTATTATCATCTGTCTTTTTGATTATAGCCATCCTAGTGGGTGTGAAGTAGTATCTCAGTACAGTTTTGATTTCCCTCAAGGCTAAGGATGTTGAACTTTTTTTTTCCATGTTTCTTAGCCATTCATATTCTTCTGATTGCTTTTCTGAACTCAATGTTGTTTTTACAGTTCACCTTTGTCAATGCATGTATTTTGAGTTTTTGCATTTTCATTATAGTATTCTACTATTATGTGAAAATATCGTGATTTACTTATTCAATCTGTCAATGGATATTTAGGTTGTTTACTTTGTTTTGCTATTTGAAATAATTCTGCTATGAACATTCTTTATATACCTTTTGGTATACTTTAAATAATCCCCCACCCTGTGCTCTTAATCATTCTACTAAATAAATACCTATATAGCCAATATGCCTTTGTACAACATATCAAGAGGCATATCTGGTCAAACTAGTGGGCCACATACTAAATATAAACCAGCTACTCGGTACTGCTTATGCGCATGTGGGTATGTTATAAATGTATGAGGCCTGCTAAGCAGATGGGACATAATATATATTTCCTGAATAAAGGGATAGATATATACATATGTATGCATAAGTACAGAAAGTCATATATAAAAACTGGGAGGTAATCATGTCAGCCCCATACAAGAAAGACCATTATAAGATCATATTATTTTAGTTTTAAGCCCTAAAAACTAAACAAGATATAGATAAATCTGAAAAAGAATTGATTAGAACTATACAAATGACCTAAAAGAGGAAACCCCAGAAAAAAGGCTAAAGAGACTAGACTCATGCAGGCTAAAGGAAAAAAAAGTACTTTAAATCATCGTATGGGATTAGAAGAAGTTATTTTAAGAGTAGAAGCAAGTTTGTAGCTGTTCTTCATTACTTCTGGAGAAAGCAAGAGGGAATGAGGCTTCAATTATAGAACTAGGATTTTAGGTCAAATGTTGTTAAAAATTCCCCACCTCTTGTGATCTGAGACACAAATATGTAACCAAAGGGATCTGTGGACTCCTACTCTAGTATTCTTTCTAAAGGTAAAGAGAATTTCTAAGATGAGTTAAATTTAGCCCTGTTCAGAGGCAGAGAGGTGCACTACTACATCAGTGATACCCAATTCCTTTGACCACGTCTTCCTAGAGAGTCCATGTTGTAAAGGATTCTGTCTGCCAAACAGCATTATTTAAATAACTGTTCTTCCTAAAGCTTTTAATAATTGGAGACCTATAGAAATTTCTATCAGAACATGAGCCAAAGAAAACATGCATAAATATGTTCTACATGTTTTCCAGAGAAAAACTGAAATCAATATACCTGTCTACCAATAGTAGATCTAATAAATCAAAGATGACATATTTGCAGAATAGAATACTATACTGCAGTAAGAAGGGACCATCGATCTATCTACCATCATATTTACCAACATATGTAAATTCAATTTATGTTGCATAAAAAAATGTTGCAGAAGGATATATTCTGTAGGGTTCTATTTTCATAAATTTTTATAAATCATAGTCATAAAGCAATGCAATATGTATTACAAGTACATAGAAGTATGCTAAGATATATAAATAAAATGGAAGGATATTAAATCACTGAGAGGAGCTGCTTTTAAGAAAATGGGGAAGGAAAAGAAAGTGGAAAGAGGTGTGAAAGAAAAGGCACTTTAATGTTATCAATAATGCTTATTTCTCTTGTTAAAAATACATTAGTGGATATGAAAAACAGTGCTACTTGATAATAAATAATTGTTGTCAAGGTTAAAGATACACAAGTGCTTTTTTTTTCAGTATTTTAAAAAGTTCTCAGGCAAAAAGTTTTCCACATCTCTGATTAATCCATTGCAACAATGTTTATGCCCCCCCCAAAATTCATGTTGAAATCTTAATCCCAAAGGTGATAATAAGAGGGGATGGGGGCCTCCGGGAAGTGCTCTGCCTTCATGAATGAGACTAGTGCCCTTATGAAAGGGGCACCTGTGAGATCCCTTGTTCCTTCCACTATGTGATGTTACAGTTAGAAGACAGCTGTCTATGAGGAAGTGGTCCTGCACCAGACACTGAAACTGCTAGCACTTTGATCTTGGACTTCCCAAGCTCCAGAACTACAAGAAATAAATTTCTGTTGTTTGTAAGCTACCCAGTCCATGGTACTTTGTTATGGCAGCACTGAACAAACTCAGACATCCATCATTACCAGTATAACCCTGCTGAATTTAAAAAGCTCCAGCCAAGTCAAAGAAATGCATTGGGTGAGTAATTCATACTTTGCATTATGCTTTATGAAACTCTGAAAATTGGGCACTCACCTCAACTGCTCTGCAAGCTCATGGCATCGAGGACTCCACACTAACATCAAGAGGATAGTGATCTCTCTTTTAAATCTTTTCTGGCTCCAGAACAGCATAGGTCTACATACTAATAGGTAAACTATACCCTACTAATTATGGGTCCATCCCCAGTCTCACTTTCCTCCCTTTAAGAGCAAAAGGAAACCATGACAAAAATATTGCCTATTTTCCGTTGTTCTTCATGTTAAGATTTGCTTTGTTTCAGGCCATCCCACCAGCAAGGATAATTGGTTCCTACCCTTTCTAGTTTTTCCACCCATATGCCTGGTTCCCAAATTCTTTGAACACGATTGAATGACAGTCTAGGTACTCTCTACACATTCCAGATGTCTTAGAAAAGTTAAAGAGAGGCACGTGTCTGAAAATGGGGCAGTATATGTGGCTTTGGGGAGGGGAGGCCTAAAGGGAGGATCTTGGAAAGGATGAAAGAGAGGGAAGAAACTCTCAACTACCAAAAGGCTGGACAACATCAAAGTCTTCAATCAGTGCTTTAAAAACTCTTGTACCAAAATGATTGTAACAGCAGAAATGAATGAATGAATGCAGGTTTTTAAGAATGTCAATGAAGAGAACAGCATGACCTCAAATAAGACGTTTGTCTTACCCATTTCAACTTAAAGTTCAGGCAAATTTAGATTATTGCTTTATGATATATCTAGTTAACAAAAACAAAGGCTCTGTGTTTTCAAGTAAAAATGACACTGAAGTAAAATAAGACGTGGCATGTTCAACCTGGGATTCCTCATACACTTGGACACTGCCAATTACCCAGAATGGTAAAGCTCTTCTTGGGAAGCACAAAATAAGCAAATAAAGGTATCTGTAGGGCTTGTGCTGGATACAGGAAGGAAGAAGGAACCCAGAGACTGAGGTTGAAGGGGGAGATCTGGGTAGATGAATTTGGGAGAGATAGTAGAGAAAGTGTTAGGAGGAAAGTTGGAAAATTTACTATCAGTTTTTTCATTCTACGTCTTGAGCAAATCCAGTACAAAGGCTGTTTGGCTTCCATCTATTGATGGCATGATGTAGGAAAGATTACGATCAACACAGTGGCTTCTAGCAGATTGTCAAAGCCCTCAACATACTGCCGTGGCTGTGCTAGTGGTGGACCACCACCAAATGACAAGCCAGGTGACACTTACGAGCTGTGAGAAGTACAAACGTCTGGTGCAAACCAGAACAGATTTTCAGGAGAAAAACAGGCAATTCAGTTTGGAGCAAGGCTGTTATTTCCACATTAACAACAACACAACAAAATGCTCTTCATGATCAAATCTGTTTTATTCCAGATTTGCATGCAACTGATGGGAATCAAAAATATAACATGAAAAATTCCATAAACAATGTCTATGAAGTGGTCCAAGACTGGAAAATAAGACATTATTTCTTGCTGCATATATCATGAAAGCCTTTTTCAAGAAAGTGGAATTTGTGCTGGCTCACAATGGGTAGGCAATATTTAAGTGTGATAAATAAGTAGGATGATAAATGACATAAAAAAAAGCATAGGAATTAGGTAATGAGACAGGAACTGGCAGGAGACAATAGTTCAGTTTGACGGGCTTGAACAGTTGATGGGGTAGGAAAAACTAAGATAGAAAAACTAAGTCAGGGTGTCATTATCCAGGGACACGAATGCCAGTCCAAGAATTTTAGCCCCTTCTCTGAGTCAGCTGAAGGGGTCTTATTATGGCATGGTAAAGTCTACACTTCAGAAAAATTCTTTTGATAGCAGCAATATTATTATTACTTATTATATCCATAAAGCAGTCAGAGAAACAAGGAAAAAATAGTTTTATATTGATTCTGACAGTTTAAAAGGTTGCCGCCCTTACATATGGACTTTTAAAATCTGTTTTTGTTTGTTTTTTGAGACAGAGTCTCATTTTGTTGCCCAGGCTGCAGTGCAGTGGCACGATCTTGGCTCACTGCAACTTCCACCTCCCAGGTTCAAGTGATTCTCCTGCCTCAGCCTCCCAAGTAGCTGGGATTACAGGTGCACACCACCACATCCAGCTAATTTTTGTATTTTTAGTAGAGACGAGGTTTCACCATGTTGGCCAGGCTGGTCTCGAACTCCTGACCTCAAGTGATTCGCCCACCTCGGTCTCCCAAAGTGCTGGGATTACAGGCGTGAGCCACCACACCCAGCCCTAAATCTGTATTTTGTTGATTGTATTTACTATGCTGTCTATATACCTAAATAAACTAGAGAGAAATATTAAACTCAATGGAGACAGTAAATCACTTGAACCTGAAATCAAATGGCAATTTCATCTATACCCATGCACTAATGCTGTTTTTGGTTCCATTTACCAAGAAGATGAACAACAATAATTTCAGGCAATTAATTCAGATCTTTGGTAAGGCCACAAAAGTTTTGCCGAATACAAGAAAACAGTTACAACATAAAGGTGAAGAACATCATTTGCCATGCTGCAGGTTCAGAACTATGTGAGTGTGTTTGTGTCACTGAAGCTAGTCTTTCAGAAATTGCCCTAACCACCGGAAATCCATCCACAGCTTCATAGACAGTTTAGCAAGCTGGACTCTGATATCAGGTAGTAGTTTCATTAGACCCTTTCACTTTCAAAGGATCCACAGTATAAACTTTCAGAGCCGGCAACATAATCCTTCTCATCAAATATTTGGGCGACAGGTGGAAAATTGTTCTGCCAGCTGAAGAAGACAAAATCCATTCCTTCTGGCAATTTTCTGCAATGAAAACTCCAAAAATGAATGTGCAATAACTTGTGGAAATAAATTTCAAATATTATCACACAAAAGCAGTGTGCTCAAAGTCTCCAACTGTAAACTAACTCCTGCTTATGTGAATTTTAAAATGTTGATTTCTTTTTGTTTGAATTGCCACTAAGGAAAGAGAAAATATTTTCAGACACAAAAAGCCAGAGAAATGCTAAATTCAAACAACATAAAGCAATGTTCAAAGCTATACTTTGTTAGTAGCATCTCTTGGGTCAGGATATAAAGACTAAAAGGCCATTTTCTATCGTTACCTAATTTCTAGCAACTGCGAGATTATCTGCTTTGATTGGAATGTTGTACACAAGCCAGCCTAGAAATGCGCTGGGCTTTGACTCTTCCTGGTTGGTTGCAGCAACTTCCATCTGCTCTCCCATGCAGAGATAGATCACTTGGCATTCCTGATAATGGTTCTTTTAAAGTTTTCTCTCAAAAGCCCTCATTTGCTCACTCCCTAGTTGTGTAAGAGTCTGGCAGATGGGTATGTGATGGCATGGGAGGCTGACAGGGTTTGCAGCAAGTTAATGAGGGAGAGAAGGTTGCACACTAGCAATCTGGGTTGGCAGTGTTGCACATGAACTGCTCAGCTATGCTTTCCTGCATAGGGATTCTGCATGTCAAGTATTCACGTGGCTGCAGAAATGCAAAATGGACTCAGCTGAGGGTCACGCCAGGTAGAAGGGTTCTGCCTTGAAATGCCACATTCAACAACTTCATTAAATCTTTTTCTTCACTTGGAGGACTTTTCCATCCTTTTCACCAATGGTTTTCTTACATGGCTTGTGTGCATAATGATCACCAATTGATTCTAATTTAGTTAGCTGGAATTCTAGAAAATCTATTGGTGAAGTGTATGTTTGCAATAGCTTAAAAATGTTAAACAAATAAGGGATGTAAACAAAATTGCCAGTTTACTGCATCATTTGGTTTTAGAAAGCAAACTTTTCATGGATTTTAAAAGAACCTGTTTAATGGGTAAACAACCATTATACACACATCATTCCCATTCAACAATATCTTTGGTGCTTTCTCCATACAAGACTCTGTGATCAGAGTTTGGAACATTCAGCAAAAAAAGGAGACAAAATCCTTGCCCCTCAAGTAGCTCACATTCTTGGAAGGAACAAGGAACTCATTTTTAACAAGTCTATGGTATGTTAGATGACAAGTAAGTGCTGTAGGGAAAAATAAAGCAGGGGAGAAGAACTAGGAATGTTGGATGAGAGAGAATTGCAACTTAGAATAGCTTGTTGAGGAAGGGCCCGGCCGGGCATGGTGGCTCACTCCTGTAATCCCAGCACCTTGGGAGGCAGAGGCAGGTGGATCAACTGAGGTCAGGAGTTTGAGACCAGCCTGACCAACATGATGAAACCCTGCCTCTACTAAATGCAAAAAAATCAGCCAGGCATGGTGGCACGTGCCTGTAATCCCAGCTACTTGGGATGCTGAGGCAGGAGAATCACTTGAACCTGGGAGGTGGAGGTTGCAGTGAGCCGAGACTGCACCATTGCACTTCAGCCTCGGTGATAGAGCAAGACTCTGTCTCAGGGGAAAAAAAAAAAAAAAAAAGGAGGGTCCAAGAAGGCAAAGGGCAAAGGAGATGAGGAAGCAATGCACATGGTTATTTTGGGAAGAACATGTCAAACCCAGAATAGCAAGTGCGAAGTCCCAGAGGTGGGAGCCTGTCTGGAATACTAGAAAAACCAAAGAAAGCAAGTGTGCTGCAAGGTGTGCATGGGAGTGTGGAGGGAAGGCGTGAGAGGGCAGGTAGGAAGCTACAGAGAAGAGGAAGAAATGAGAATAAAGGGGCAAAGCCAGGCATGGTGGCTCACATCTGTAATCCCAGCACATTGGGAGGCTGAGGTAGGCAGATTGCTTGAGGTCCGGAGGTCAAGGCCAGTTTGGGTAATATAGTGAGACCCCATTTGTGGGACCCTATACTCCACAAACACTTCTACAACCTCATCTCCATAATTTGATTTATAAATTTTTATAACAAAACCTCCTTAATGTATAGCTACTAATTATATATTATAATACCTTAGAATGATACATCTCTGTATTTTCTAAAACGGGTAAGTTCACCAAGCAAACTTAAAATGTATGCAAGACCAGGGGAGGAGCAGACTGTTGAAGCTAGATAAAGACCTCTGTTTTCAAAGAATGTCAGACACCTCCATTCTACATGGTAGCCAAGGATCTCCATTTAGTAATCTATTCAGATATATATATATATATATATATATATATATACATACATATCTGAATATATAATCTATGCAGATATATATATATATATATATATATATATATATATATATATATATGGCTCACTATTAGCCTTGAACTCTCAGACTCAAGAGATCCTCCTGCCTCAGCCTCCTGAGTAGCTAAGACTATATAAGCACGTGCCTGGCTAATTTTATAATGTCTTGTAGAGACAGGGTCTCACCATGTTGCTCAGGCTTGTCTTGAACTCTTGACCTCAAGTAATCCTTTTGCCTCTGCCCACCAAAGTGCTGGGATTACAGGCATGAGCCACTGCATCCAGCTCAGATAACCCTTAACCTTACTTGCATTAGTATATGAAAGGGAAAAGTAAACTTTTGAACTTATGCTTTATACTTTTAATGTGTTTTACTGTAGTATAACCTCCATTAGTTGATAGTCTAACGAAGTGAGGTGTTTTGATTGGGGGTGTATTCTGGTTAGAACCATAGTACCTCAGTATCTTAGAGGTGGAATACAATTTAAATATCTCAACATCATTTCAATTTTTGAATCCTACTAACATATCACCCATCTTCTGCTAGACCAGATCTGATGTGGAGGCAACCATTGCCTGTCAAGACCATCTCCACCTTCGAATAGCCAGGCACTCAGAAGGTCCTGGTCAAGGTTAAGTATATCAGTTTTAGAGTCAGACAGCTTGAGTTTAGATCAAGCACATCCAACCTACTCCATGTGGCTACATGCAGCCCAGGACGGCTTTGAACGTAGCCCAACACAAATTCATAAACTTTCTTAAAACTTTGAGGGTTTTTTTTTTTAATTTTTTTTTTAGCTCATCAGCTATTGTTAATCTATTTTTTGTGTGGCCCAAGACAATTCTTCTTCTTTCAATGTGGCCCAGAAAAGCCAAAAGATTGGATAACCCTGGATTAGATCCTTCCTACCACTTATTATTGTGAGGCCTTCATCAATTTACTTAACTCCTCTCGACCTTTGTTTTCTTCTATTTAACATAGGAATAGACATACAACTTCCTCCTGGAAGGGGATTGTGAAAATTAAGACCTTTTTTTTTTTTTTTTTTTTTAATCTTAGAGGTGGGAACTCTCTACATTGGTCAGGCTGGCCTTGAATTCCTGGGCTCAAGAGATCCTCCCACCTGAGCCTCCTAAGTGGCTAGGACTATAGAAACACACCACTGCACCAGCTATAAAAATTAAGACCTAAATCACATAAAATGCTTATTTCAGAGTGCACACAGAATTATTAACATGATTTTATATACTGGTCCTAAATTACCACAGGTTAGCCAGAAATCATGTTCATTGTATTTACACAAGGCCTTATTTCAGTATTTTCTTGGCATCTCAGGATTTCACAGCCCATCATGGTGCTAAGTATGGGAAGAATCAGTGAAAGAAGAACTGCTCTTACATAGATCTTAAGGTATAATCTAGAAATCTCTTTTGAAGAGGAAAGTCCCTGAAAGCTTGATTTTCCTAAGAGATGCAAATCTCTTATACTTGAGGGAAGACCAACAACAACAAAATGATTAATTGAGGTCCTCTTAGTTGGAGGCCAATTAATGGAGGCTTTGCTATATAATTGGCCTTTCCCTCAATTAGTCCAAATTAGTAAATTTTACTGTACATTTGTTCCTGTCAAGAGTGAATTAATAATTTAGGTGTGACATTAAATAAATACCAGACATTGATTTATATGTGTCATCTCTGAAAACATCCATTTTCCTGGCAAGTGAAGGCAGCAGGGAGCTTTTGCTTCACTTGTGTATACTACCCAGGACAAAAAAATGTAGAAAGCTTCCTCCTTAGAAAATCAAGTGGATTGACTCGAACTTATAGACAGCAGGCCTGACTTGTCTGGCCAAGCTGAGATGTTGAATAAGGCTGTTTGTACTGAGCTTCCCAGTGCATCCTGAGCTAACTGGTGAGGATATGGTGGAATCAAATATTTCTTGGTCTCAGGGCCACCTCATGAGGCAGAGGTGGTAAGAGGCTATTTATTACAACCTCAGCAATGAAGCCTTATTGTCGCTAAAAAAAGTTGAGGCAGCAGGTGATAACTGATCACAGGTGCAAACACATGCAACAACTGATAATATCTATTTCAACATAGGCAACGATGTGTGTGATACTGTGAAATACATATTTGGTCTTTGTTCCCTTTTCTTGGCACACAACTCCTAATATCCTGGGAATCTCCAAAGTGTTTTTTTTTTTTTTTTTTTTTTGGATATAAAAAAGATGACTGGTAACTGCTACCCCCTAGGTAGCTCCAGGGTGGGGGCTGGTCACTGGAAAGACCAAGACCAAGGCTTCAACAGAATGTTGTGACTTTCAGCTCCACCTCCTGAACTCCAGGTAAGGGGGAGGAGAGAGGGAATGAAGGTTGAGTGAATCACCATTAGCCAAGGATGTAATGAAAAATGCCTAGTAATGAAGTTTCCATTAAAACCCCAAAGGACTGGATTCTGGTAGCCTCCAGGTTGCTGGACACTGGAGGTTCTTGAATGATGGTGCACCCAAAGAGGGCACGAAAGCTCTGCAGCCCCTCCCCCATATCATGGCCATCTGGCATTCACCTGTATCATTTCTAATAGTCTTTATAATAACCAGCAAACCTAAGTAAGGGTTTCCTTAAGCTCTGTGATTCATCCTAGCAAATTAATCAAACTTGAGGAGGGGTTGTGAGAACCCCAGGATATAGTCAGGCTTTCAGTTGGCATCTGAAGTGGAGACAATTGTGTGGAACTAAGCCTTCAACCTGTGGGATCTGAATTACAGGACACCAAGTGTCTGCTGGAGAATCTGCCAGAAAGTTGCTTGGTGTGGGGAAAAACCCACGAATATCTGAGGTCACAGAAGTATTCTGTGTTGTGGTAAGAAGAGAATAAGAAGACCCCACTGTTTCTGTTTTGTTCTGTTTCCTATATGCTCACAGTGAGAAAGGATGGGAAAAGTATCCAATGCAGGGGAAGAAATTCAGCATGTAGTATGGCCCAGGGTCTCAGAAAGAAAAGAAGGAGAGAAGAGAAGAGAGGAGAGGAGATTCTTGTTCTCCCAGCAAGATAAGCTAAAAATTTGTACAGGGATCTATATTTGACCCTGTGCTCTCTTCCTGACTGCAGGGCTCTAGCAATTTGTACCCTTTCCTCCCTTGCTGCTTCTTGGTCCTGGCATGTACCCCTACATCCCATGGAGAGCTGAAGCCTGACCTCTTGCCCTTATCTCTACTACTTTGCTACAATAGTAAACCTATTTTCTTTGATTGGTGCACAGGAAATGAATAACTCGTGCTATTCCTGTGATTCTGATACTCCCTCTGGCCCTGTACCCCACCATATACTATTTCTCCGTGTCTACACAATTTCTGAGTACAGACCTTTATTCTATGACATAGTAGAAAATACTGGGGAAAGGGAACACTTGGCCCCCCGGGCACACAATTAAAGTTCCTTAGCCTCCTCAAGCCTCCCTCTCCTCCTTATCTATTAAGTTTCCAAAATCAACCTTGAAGAGTCATAGCAAGAATCAAAGAAAATAAGTAATTTTTCATTTACCTTAGACCTTAGCTATTAATAATAAATTCAAACTATTTAAGTTTTGACAAAATGCTCACTAAATCAAACCTGAGGCATGCACACTGCTACATTTCCTTTTCTAAAGATGCTAGAATTCTGCCAAATACCTCCAGTTCATTTCTAGACTGCAAACGAAGCTCTACATCTTTATTTTCCAGTGCTCTCCCTCTCAGCTCTGCCGAGCTTATCACCAGTGTGTGTAATTAAAGGGCTTAGTGCTTAGCTGGCATTCCAAAAGGCATAGTCCCTGCCCTGGTGCCACCTGCCAATCTATCCAAATTTGTTTTCTGCCACTCTGCCACTTCACTCTCTGAAATCTTCTTTTTTGAAGAGAAAGCTGGAAGAGATATGAGGTCACTTTCTACCTCCCAGCAGTGCTTCAAAAAATGTACAATTTGTCTTTTTAGAGGGCTCACTCTGGACTTGCCCATTTAGCAATTATGAGAAAAGATTCAAAGGCGGTAGCTTGATGCAAGTGATCCCTGCCTTTGTCTCTCACTAGTCTCTGAAGAGAAATACAGTCTTTCTTCTTAGGAAACTCCCAGTGATCTCTCATAAAGACAAAATGTCAGGCCCTCAGCAGATGAGGATAATTTAAAACATTAAAATAATCTAGACCTAGGTCAGAATTTTAACTTTTCTTCCCAGCTGTATCTGAAAACAATCATAGACTTAAACAAAACAAACAAAAGACTCCCCAAGGTCACTGTATGAAGAATGCACTGAAATCCAAACAGTGAAGTAACGGAATATCAGAGTGCCAAGAAGTTCCTAGAGGGAGCTTTTGGACTTTCAAAGCACTTCCACATATATTCACCCCTTCATTTTGTGCAACAGCCTTGGGATTGTTGTTATTACATTCATTTTCCTGAACAAGAAAATTTAAGTGCCATGACTGTCATGATAGGACCAATGTGTGACAGTGAGAGGGCTTCCAACTCCAGGTCCAGCATGGTCCCAACTAAACCACAGCCCTTGCAACCTACTCAGCTCCAAAAGCAAGGTTTCTTGGTATGCTTTTTTTCCTCTTAATTTTTTTAAAAAAATAATTTTTAATTTTTATGGCATATAGTAGGTATGTATACTTACAGGGAACATGAGATGTTTTGATCCAGGAATGTACTGTGTAATAATCACATCATAGAAAATGGGGTATCCATCCCCTCAAGCATTTATCCTTAGGGTACAAACAATCCAATTATACTCTTACAGTTATTTTAAAATGTACAATTAAATTATTAACTATATAGTTACTATTGTGCTATCAAATACTAGGCCTTATTTGCACATTCTATTTTTTTTACCCATTAACCATCCCCACCTCCCCTTTACCTCCCCCATCACCCCACTACTCTTCCCAGCCTTTGGTAACCATCCTTCTGCTCTCTATCTCCATGACTTCACCTGTTTACTCTCCTTTTATCAATAACCAAGACCCACGAAAATTTCTCTATCCACCACGCTGTGTTGTCATTGCCTCTAGGACCTTTGCCATGAAGTGATTCTTACTTACAGGGTAAAGATAAACTGCCTCTAATGGCACCAATAACCACAGTATTTCAGCCATATCGTGGGTCTGTGTAGAGGAACTGATAAGAAAAGCCCTGGGCCGGCGCGGTGGCTCACGCCTGTAATCCCAGCACTTTGGGAGGCCGAGGCGGGCGGATCACGAGGTCAGGAAATCGAGACCATCCTGGCTAAAACGGTGAAACCCCGTCTCTACTAAAAATACAAAAATTTAGCCGGGCGTAGTGGCGGGCGCCTGTAGTCCCAGCTACTTGGGAGGCTGAGGCAGGAGAATGGCGTGAACCCGGGAGGCGGAGCTTGCAGTGAGCCGAGATCCCGCCACTGCACTCCAGCCTGGGCGACAGAGCGAGACTCCGTCTCAAAAAAAAAAAAAAAAAAAAAAAAGAAAAGCCCTGATGGAGGCCTGCAAAAAGAACTTACCTCTAAGAAAACACCTTCAATGAAGGTAGATTTGTTTGTCAAACATAATTTTTAAAAGCCAGAAAATTATGAAATAAATCATTAAAGCAACATGGCCGGTATCATTTGCTCCTCGAGTTTGACAGCCCTCTTGCCCTTTTCCAAAAGTCTTGACCCACCAAGCCACGTCTGTCCCACTTGAGATTCACAGGGCTTTTCCACGCAGTCCTTAGATGCCTACACAATCACTGGTGAATGCTGGACACAGCTGTCCTGTTCTGAATCCTTCCTTTTATTACATTCCCTAAAAGTATTCAATCAGTGCTCTCAGACTCCTAGATATATGTCCCAACCCAAAGCAAAAAGTCCATGAATCATGTTGCAAGGTACAGTGACTTTAGATTCCGAAATACTTCAGTTCAAACACTGCCTAATCATTCCCTAACTCTGTGACCTCAGGCTAACTGTTTAAATCTTCAGTCCTCAAATTCTTTGTCTCTGACACTGAATGATTATACCTGGTCCTCTAGTGAATACTACTGTTGCTGAATTTCTTCCTCCTTTTAAAGGGAGCTGCTCTATCTAGTACATTCTTTATCAAGCCCCTGCAATTTCATATGCCAATCAGGATAATTCCATTTGCCATACAAGTAATAGGCAGAAGAAACCATTCTGACCACTGAAATGTGAATGACAGTATATTGGGGGACTCTGGGACTTAAAAAGATGTATCCAAGAAGAAAAGTGTTTATTTTTCTCTTCTGAACACTGTTGTGTCTGAATGTGATGGCAGAAGCTACCGCAGCTATCTTGCCTCCATGAGTGAAGCCAGCTTGTATGTATAGTCAACACATTGAGGATCACCGAATATTAAGATCAAAAGTACCTGGGTTTCTAATATCCTCACTGAACTACAGAATTTATAACCTACTTTCCATCAAATAATAAATATCGTCTAGATCATCTGAATCAGGGCTTTTTCCCACCACTTCAAGCTTAAAAGCAAGAAAAATAATTGAAAATAATGACAATAGCTAAACACACGTCAAGGAATTTCTCAGTGTCAAGTACAATGTGAAATATTTCGGTGTATTATTTCATTATCACAATAACCCTCTAAGGTTGTTAGGAAATAGCACAGAGAGGTTAAGCAACCTGCTTAATTCACCCAGTAGGGAGCAGGAAAGCTAGAGTCTGATCAAAGGCAGTCCGGCTCCAGAGCCAACCACTGTGCAAAATCACTTTCCTGACTTAGTGTATCTCAAAGCGGGGAAATAGGCTTCGGTTTAAAAATAAAACCATCTCGACAGCCCCTAATGAAAAGTTGGAGGAACTCAAACATACTGGTAATTTTGCAGTAATGCTGATGTTTTCCATCTGCTTCCTGCCATCTCAGGCATTTCCCCACTCACTGCAATTGCTTTTGCTCACCCTCCTAGTATCCACATCTTTGAGTTTATTATTTACATAAACCCTTGCCACAAACCTCCCAATCCTATCTTGATCATCTACACCCTTACCACAGACCTGGCCTCAAATTAATTCCACTCACATCTGATGCTCAATGCTAGCCTTTCTACTGTCAGGAGTTTCCAAAGCTGCATGAGCCTCAAGCTATTTTTTCAAGAACTGATTTAGTTTCTTCAAGCCAGGCAAGAAGAGTGGCCATTCAATTGTACTAAGACCTATTTTCTTTTTCGTATCTCCAAAGTAATCCCATAATTTGGGGGACCATTTATTTTGGGATAATTTTGGGGATTACTGCATTAAGCCTTGCCACATTTATCCCAAAATTATAAAAATGTACAAAATTTAGAAAACAGGTCATCATAATTTACAAGTATTTCTCTTTAATTTTTGATTTTTGTGGGTACAGAGTAGGTGTATATATTTCTTGATTACGTGAGATTTTGATACAGGCATGTGATGTATAATAATCACATCAGGGTATGGGGTATACATCACCTCTCATACTTATCCTTTGTGCTACAAACAATCCAAGTATACTCTTTTAGTGTTTGCAAGTAATTTGACTCAAGTCATATGAAGTTTCCATGAATACTTTACCTCGTCTTGAACAGTGGCTGTTTTGGGGGGCTACACATGAGTGTTTGGCATAGTTGTCTCTTCATCTGCAGAGGAAACTTGAACGTGGACACAGGGAGCCATATGGTAAGAGGGGAGGGTGGATTCTGTTTCACCATGAGAGAAGAGGAGTCATCTAGAACCACCATGAACAGATGCGGAACTCAGCAGAATTCAGATGCCTGAGTTCTACACCAGACTACACACATCAAACATTTTAGAAAAAGGCTCAGGAAGATGCACTCTACACTGTTCCCCAGATAATGCTGATGCATACAAAAATCTGGGACTCTATTAGAGTTGCCAGAAAGAACAAAGGAGCCAACAAACTAGAGGCTTTGAATGGAGTCTAAGCACCTCCAATAAGGTGATTAAGCCTGGTGGTAAAACCTCGGCCTTCCTTATCTTCTCTTCCTTTGCTCTTTTACAATGCATTCCTCACATTACACCTCAGGACCTCTCCACCATTCACAAGCAAGTTATTAGCTTGAAGGTTTTAAGAAGGCTGTATCTAATACTTCTGGGTATTCCCAAAGAGGATTGAAAACTAAGAGCTAACAACTGCATAGCACCCATGAGAGGCAATGTCTAAGCACTCAGAGATATTAACTCTTTTAATTAGCCTCACATAGCTATGAGGCTGTCATTTTTTCAAATTACAAAGATCAAAACAGAGAGCCCAAACAGCTTGCCTAAGGTCACACGGCAGGTCAGGGCTGATCCAGGATTTACCCAGGTATCCAGCTGGTGCCATAATTAAGTGAGAAGTCATCAATGGTTTTTGCTTCACTCTCATCAAACCCCCGTGAGTATGTGGCACTCTGTCCTTCTAAGCATTGTCCTCATACTTTCTCCTGCATAGAATACCTCACATCTTCATAATCTTTTTACCTCTCACCCACCCTTCCAGGCCTATAGTTAATTAAGGTCAGCCAAACCTGGCAACCATTTCAAGGGTTAAAAGCGTGAGTGATAATACTTTCTGCTTTATAGGATTGTTTCTGGAAGTTTAAGTCGTATATTTTAAATGCTAATAAGCACTGTGCCGGGCACTCAGCTAGCATGTTGAGCAGGTAACTATAATTAATGTTCTTTTTGACTGTCCCATTCTCTTTCTTTAGATGTTAAGACAGCACCAGACACAGGGAGGCTCTTTTAATACACACTCTTCAATGACGATGATTCAGAGGGAGCAACACCAGGAGTGGGAATTAAAATTCTAACTCCCTTTCTATTAAGGAAGCCACCAGCATAGTGTTTAACCATTTTAATTAACAAAAACTTACACTACTAATTACCCTCCATTCCTTCCTTCTTGAGAGAATGTGAATAAAACAGAGTGAAATATTCACAGTCCTGAGCACAGGGTCATATCCTTTCCCTGACACTTGCCAACTGATATGGTTTGGCTGTGTCCCCACCCAAATCTCATCTTGAATTGTAACTCCCATAATTCCCACATGCTGTGGGAGGGACCTGGTGGGAGATAATTGAATCATGGGGGTGGTTTCCCCCATACTGCTCTCATGCTAGTGAGTAAGTCTCAGGAGATCTGATGGCTTTATAGGGGGTTTTCCCTTTGACGCGGCTCTCATTCTCTCTTGCCTGCCACCATGATTGTGAGGCCTCCCCAGCTACGTGGAACTGTGAATCCATTAAACCTCTTTTTCTTTATAAATTACTCAGTCTCAGGTATCTCTTTATCAGCGGCATGAAAACGGACTAATACACCGACTATGTGATCTCTGGGAGATCACTGTCCCAAGTCAGATTTCTAGTGCCAGCCACACACTTTGAGTCCCTGCTCTGCCATGTTCTTAGCTGAGAGAATTTAGGCAAGGCTACAAGTCACCCAGGTATCTTGTAAAAATTCAGGTTTTGAATCCGTTGTTCTGGGGATAACTGATTTGTACTTCTACAACTGATTTTGTATTTTTAACAAATTCCAAAGTGATATTCATGCTCCTGGTCTATGGACCACACTTTGAGTAGCAAGGAGCTTGAGCATAGTTTCCTTGCCTATTAAGAAAAATGAAAATAACAGGATCATCCTTTCTGTGAGGATGAAATAAGAGAGTCCATATAGGCTGGGCGCGGTGGCTCACGCCTGTAATCCCAGCACTTTAAGAGGCTGAGGTGGGCAGATCACGAGGTCAGGAGATTGAGACCATCCTGGCCAACATGGTGAAACCCCGTCTCTACTAAAAATACAAAAAAAAAAAAATTAGCCGGGCATGGTGGTGTGCACCTGTAGTCCCAGCTACTCAGGAGGCGGAGGCAGGGGAATCGCTTGAACCTGGGAGGCAGAGGTTGCAGTGAGCCAAGATCGCACCACTGCACTCTAGCCTGGGCAACAGAGCAAGATTCCATCTCAAAAAAGAAAACAAACAAACAAAAAAACGAAGAGAATCCATGCAAAATCCTTAGTACACAGCCTTAGAAAGAACTCAAATCCATTTGAGATATTTTATTTGAAATAATTTTAGTTAGGAAGAATTGGCAGGACTGAAGTCCAGGGAGCTCCCATGGTCATCTGGGATAACCAGGATGGTAATGGCAGTCCTGAAATTTGATCCTGCCACACGCATGTGTGACAACTCTGCTTAGATCTGAATAGCACCTACTCTTTACAGGAAAAGAGCTTTGGCTTATAAGAAGGATAAACGTTATAGGCATCCCTCATCTCTAAGTTCACCCACCATTGGACTGTTTATCCAGCCCTCTGAGTGCTTTCGGTAGGCTCTGCCATGATATGCTTACCTTAGTGAGACTCTGCAGAAATTGAGGGATAACTTCCCATAAAACATGTTTATAATTGGCTATGGGAGACCAACACATTATATGTACCAATGAGGATTAATATGCTCGTAAAACACTGGTAGTAGCAGTCTCTCTTGCCAGCTGAAAACAATGCATCATCCCTTTTGTAGTCTCTTGTCTTATAAATTCATATTTTATTTATGTACAATTTAAAAATACTCAAACTTTAAATATTAAGCGGAGGGCAAGTTATCACAAATAATCATCTCTCTCACATTTGTTTAATGCCGAAGTTAGGGGAAAACATATCAATTAACACAGATCACTTTCTTCAACACACAAAGTTTTATTTGTTAACACATCAAATAAAGCACAAAGTAGTATTTGCTCAGAGGTAAACTACCAGAGCAGGAACTTTGTAAGGCTCATGGGAATTTTATATTTATGAAGTACATTCTAATGATGGTAAGAGTGGGGTAACTGAATGCAAATCCTTTATATCAATTCTGAATGGTAACAGTCATGATTTTAAATTTTTGTTTCTTCTTTTTTTAAAAGATACAAACTACTCAGAACTTTGGAGGCTTTCTGACTTATTTGTTTTATAACATCTGCCTTCTGCCCTTGCACGGAGATTTCAAAAGCTGAGACATCTTCAGCTAAGCTTTGACTGTGGGTGACTTGAGAGGCATTTCCCTCCAAGAGGAGCTTATAGCTATCTTCCTCACAGAGCCCCACTGCTCCACTCAGGGGCTCTGCCCATAGTGATCTGAATTTGAAAGCTTTCTTTCCCCGGCCTTATGCCTTCAAGTATAGAAACATAAAGGAAAGCCACCATCAGTACAAAAGCTACAACTAGGGCACAAACATGTGGGAGGCCAACTGGTGGGGACTCTTTGCTTTCAACCTTGGTCAGGCAGCACCTGGAAGTGACAAAGTTCTCTGGAAAAGTTTTTTCTGACACTAAGCCTTTCTAGATAGATGGCATTATTTCGAATGCCTTGGTAATCACGTTTTCTGAACCGTGTCAGTGTTTCCAGAGTAGTTTCATGGCTGACTCTCTGGGCAGACAGCCTTTGGTCAGTCAGACATGAGGTATTTATTGAGCAACTACTATGTAACAAGTGCTGTGCTAACCACTGGCAAACAAGTCAGACATGTCCCCTGACCTCACAGAGCTCATGGGAAAGCACCCAGAGGTGCAGTACCAAGAATCATGGTACTCTAAATGCTACTTTCCTCCTATTTCCTTTGAATTTTAACAATTTCCAAACCCCTATTAGAAAGGTTTTGGATCTTATTTTTAACTAAAACATTTTAAAATGTCATACTTGTCATTCTCCCTTGCCCCTAAATGTGGAAAATATCCAGTGAATTCAGCCTGATCTTTTGCTTTAAGTCATCCGTTCATACACATGCATTCAATCAATCACCAATCATTTATCACGCAGCCGTGATATACAAGGCTCTGTGCTAAATATGAGGATAATAACCAGCCCAAGATACCCGCAGCCTAGTAGGCAAGGTCAAAAACCTCAGTGGGTTAAACTATAATGTGACGAGTAGCATAAATATGGTTTACAGACAGTGTTGTGAGAAGTTCAGAAAAGAAAGATGTCAGGGATTACTTCCACAGAGAATAAAATATTTCATTCATTGGGTCACATAAATATACAGTTGAATAGGAACATGAATGGTTTAATAGAAGTACTTAACATCTTATAAGCCTAATAGAGTCAATAAAAGGCATTACAGGTTAAATGTAGCCCCCAAAAGTTAATGGGTTAAAAACATCTCTCTGCCCTCATGAATGGGTTAGTGTCACTATCAGGACAGTGGGTTCCTTATCATGGGAGTGGCTTTACTATAAAAGCAAGCTCTCTCTGGCTTTCTCCCTCTCGCCATATAATGCCCTCCACCATGTTATGATGCAGTAGGAAGGCCCTCAACAGATGCTAGCACTATGCTCTTGGACTTCCCAGTCTCCAGAACTATAAGAAATAAATTTATTTTCTTATTCAGAAAATAGACTAAGACAAGAGGCAAAGACATATTTCCTTGAAAACTAATTAATACTATCAGAATACATGGCTTAATGTCATTCAAATATGAAATCAATTATTTAAAATGAAAGGTGAGGGTGATAATTTGTTTTTGTTGTTGTTCAATACTGTTTAGGGTTTGAGTGGTGCAAGATGTTTACTATTCCCAATTTGATAGTTTCACTTGCACAGAATCCAATTAGAGTGTCAGATATTTTGCATTTCCAGTATAAGCATTAATAAAACATTGTAAGGGTAGGGGATGAGAGAATGAAATGTTTGTGTCTGCATGATTCATGGATGTTTTTCAATATCATGCAATGCTCCAACTAATGAGCAATAGCTGAGAAGCAATAGAAGGCATTAACTGTTCCATATTATTAATGCCCTGCTTGAGAATGAAGACAGGTCTGTTCCATGCTGCTTATAAACAGCTTGCAGTGCTCCTGGAGCTTGTCCTGGGCCCTATTCCTCCCTCTAAGCTACTCTTCTCATAAAGCTTTTCTACATTAAACCCAAAACTTTCAAAGGGAGATTAAATGGCTCCTCAAAAAAATGTTTCCTCTGGCTAAATGATGCCAGCACAGACATAATTAAAATATATTTGCCACATTTGTTTAAAAGTGTTCACTCCAGAGAACAAAGTTTCCCCAACAAATGATCTTTGTACACTCAGTACAGTCACTGAATCACATGTGGTTTGTTGGGTGGGGAAATTTCTGTCATTCGGTCAGTTAAGTTATGATGAATCAAAGAAATAAACAACCAAGAGGGAGAACTAAATGATAGCAAGGCTAATACTCAATCTTCCACAAAGGATGGCTAAAGTTGAGTTTTCTCTTAAGTGTAATTATCGACTTCATGTAGGTGCCTACCAGCTCTTAGGTCTAAAATGTTTGCTAATGCATGGACTTGCAAACTGGCAGGAGGATAGTAAAAAATAAAACTGAATCTTGCCCTGATCATAATTGCCCCTGTGGTGTGGTGTTTATTCTTAGCTAGAGAAACATTTCATTTATTGAAGCTATTCATCTGAACCAATCCCCAAGCTCTTCCCTCAACTTGATTTGCAGATCAATTGTCATGATTAAAGTTAAGGGGTGTGAAGGAGCCAAGTGCTGATTCAAATGGTAGAGTTGCTTACTGCAGTGTTATTCACATTCTGCTTTATACTGAATTGGTTGGGTTCCATTTTCAAGCAAGAAAAGTTTCAAAGCATTGCTGAATGCTTGGAAGCAAATGTTGAGGAACAGGATCTAATAGGGAAAAAAGATCCTAGGAATAAAAGTAATAAAAATACACAGGGTAATTTCTGAAAAATAAAAATGTTGCCAACTATGGTGTAAATCACACATTTCCTTTAGCGATTATGAGTTTTGAGCCAAGAAATCCGGGTTTGTGGATCCTTTATACACAATCACCATGGCTCTGTGCTGATGCCTGATGACGAAATTCAGCCAACCTCCAGCCATATCCATCCAAATGTATCAATATGGCTAATGATAATTCCTAAAACCAACATAAATCTACCCATATCTCTACCCAGTCCTGCATTTTCCTTCCCAGTACACTGGAGGAGCATCCAGTTTCCTGTTCCTCCAAGTATGCCTTTGATCCCACTCCTCCACAATGCTCACCCATCATGTTTGCCATCTCTTTCCTATATATAACTTTGCATGTTTCCTGTATTGATCCTTCTAGTCAACATTCAGCTATGGTCAAATTGCTACCATGTTTTTAAAAACATCATTCAGATTTACATTGCACATATCTCTCTTCTTCACAGAAGGATGGTTTTGCATCTTTTCACTGGGTTTGTCACCCAGTCTTTAATATACTCCAATCTGCTCCAACCAACCTACTCCAAGCAACACAGCTCCCACCCAGGTCAAAAATGGCATCCAAGATGATAATACCAATGGAAACTTTCAGCCCCTGACTTAGTAGACATGTCTGTATCATTTGACAGATATGACCTTTAACAGTTCCTTTTTCCTTGAAATATTCTCTTCACTTTGCTCCTGACTCTCCCCCGCTTTTTTTTTTTTTTTTTTTTTTTTTTTGTTTTGTTTTGTTTTGAGATGGAGTTTTGCTCTTGTTGCCCAGGCTGGAGTGCAATGGTGCAATCTCATCCCACTGCAACCTCTGCCTCCTGGGTTCAGGCGATTCTCCTGCCTCAGCCTCATGAGTAGCTGCGATTACAGGCATGTGCCACTACATCTGGCTAATTTTGTATTTTTAGCAGAGACGGGGTTTCTCCATGTTGGTCAGGCTGGTCTCAAACTCCTGACCTCAGGTGATCCACCTGCCTCAGCCTCCCAAAGATCTTGGATTACAGGTGTGAGCCACCATGCCCAGCCGATTTTCCTCTTATCTCAATGGACACCCTTTTCTCGGTTTCCTTCCAATTTATCCTTTATACAACCATTAAAATGTTGTGAGTTCTACAAGGCACAGACCTAGGCCATAATTATTCCCCCGTCTTTTTTTTTTTTCATCCATGCTCCATGCTTCCATTACCATTTGTAAAAATTAGATATTTCCATTGGCTGTCCAAAAGACATCTCACACTTGACATGTCCAAAATCTAACGCATCATTTCTCCCTTGCTGTTGCCAACCCTGCTTCTCTTCTGGCGCTACACCTCAAATAAAGAAACCATCAGGTTTCAAATTGGCTAGAGGGCCACAGAATAAATGTGATGGGGTTCGTGACATGCTGCACTGGCATTTGAGAAAACAGCAGTAGGGAGGTCACCCTCACTTTCTCACCCTCACTTTCTCCTAGTCTTGTCCCTGAAGCAGGTCTAATAACCTAGGAAAGCTTTTCTGACTTTCTGAGGGTCATAAGACCCTCATTCCAGAGGTGCCTTCCCTTACCCAGAAGAAAGGAACATCCTAATCTCTGAAGACACAGGGAGAGACCCAGAGAAAATCCTGAACAAATGGACCTTGCTAAGTATTCCCTAGTACATGGCCATTAGATCATCCTCTTTTGTCCAATTCTATTTCTCCATGACTATCTACTTCTTCATCAAACCTAGCATAAAAATACACAAATTTAACCATTTATTGGGGTCTTCATTCCCTATGAGGGCTTCTGGGTCATATAAAAGGTATATTAAATAAATATGTATGCTTTTCTTTTGTTAATCTATCTTTGTTATAGGGGCCTCAGTCATGAATGTAGGATGGGTGAGGAAAAGACTTTTTTCTCCCCTACACGTGTGCCTCAAACATTATGCTGCATGAAAGAAACCAGATTGTTTAAAAAAACCATGTATGATTCCATTTATATGAAATGTCCAGAAAAGGCAAATCTGTAGAATAGCTGCTTTGTAGGGCTAGGGATGGTAATGGGGAGTAGCTGCAAATGAGCATAGGATTTCTTTCTAGGGTGTTGAAAATGTTTTAAAATTAGACTTTGGTGATGGCAGTACAGTTCTAAAAATATACTAAAATTTATTGAGTTGTACACTTAAAAGTGGGAAATCTTATGGCATGTAAGTGGTATCTTAATAGAACTGTTTTTAAAAATTACATAAGTAGGAGTGACGCGTGACTCCCTTCCTTCTCTCCTAACCCTCCATTACTGCCCCATCCCTGAGTTCCACCGTTAGCCTAGCAAACTATTTTCTGAGTTATTTATCTCTTTCCATCTTGCTCCACTTTAATGTAAATTAGCATTCTCTTTTCCCTGGCCACTGTGATAGCTTTTCCAACGGTCTGTCCCATCAGTTATGACACCCACAACAAACTGTTCTCTATACTACAGCCAGAAAGATCTTTTCTGCTTACAAACCCTTTACTGGCTTCCAAAAGTCCTTAGATGAAGACCACATTCCTTAAATTGACCTCAGCAATTCAGCATGACTCTAGCTCCTCTCTTTCCAGTCTTCCTCCATCCCCTACTCACAGATACTTACCTATCTCTGTGTGCAACCTCTTCTACCCCAACCTCACCTGCTCTGTTTCTACTCCTCCTTTAGATTGCACCTGAAGGATTACCTTGGGGAAAACTATCCAAAGCAGTTTAGACTGAACCCTCAGTCTAAGTCAGCCCTATTGGTTATTGTTCTCAAAGAACCACAATTATTGTTCTAAAACCGAATTCCAGTTTGCAATTAAACATTCCCCACTATGATGAGGTGGATTAATATCTTCCCCTTTTGCCACCACGTAAAGTTGCCTGAAAGAAGGGAATACATATCTTTTGGCCCCTTTTTTCAGCATTGTATCTTTAGAACTTACACTGGTACTTGACCTTAAATAATTGTTGAAAGGATAACTTCTATTAGTAGTGGTTAGATATTAACACCTTTTATTAATAAGAAATCTCTTCTTTCATAGGAGGATCAAAAAATAGGGTTTTTACTGCTATTACTTAGTATTTCAATGAAATTTTTGCACACACTTGTGAAATTAGATTTCTACTGTCTTTATCCTTGTTGAACCCAGGTAAACTGAGAACTAGTCTCTGAGAGGCACAGACAGGGGCACCAGAATGGAAATATGGTAAACCTTCACCTTCCTATAAGTCAGGCAGAAATTAGCTTTAAGGCTGATCTCTACATCAAGCTTGTACAACCCACAACCTGCAGGACAGCTTTGAATGGGGCCCAACACAAATTTGTAAACTTTCTTAACACATTATGAGATTTTTTTGCTTTTTTTTTTTTTTTTTTTTTTTGTTGTTGTTGTTGTTCATCAGCTTTCACTAGTGTATTTTATGTGTGGCCCAAGACAATCCTTCTTCTTCCAATGTGGCCCAGGGAAGCTAAAAGATTGGACACCCTGCTCTAAATCAAGGCTCTCTTCCTATGTGGTATAAAAAGACCTCTTCCCACCAAATACAAATGCTTACACTCCAAAATTTTGCTAGAAAAAAGATATTTTGACATACTTTCCTTATCTCATTCCTGTGCTGCTGTTCTGAAGTATGACAGCATCCATGGCAAGTACGGAGTCCTCGGTCTCTCTCTTTGCCCCGTGATTAAAAATACACTTCCAACCATTGCTTGGCAAACACTGTGGCTGTCAAGCTCCCAGTCTCAACTCAGTCACTACTTTTCTTTCCCTGGGCCAGAATCCTGACCCTCACTGGATCGGTCCCCTGGGAGGGAATTTTTCTATCCCCTGAGTACCATTCCTTTACCCAAAATCCAAAGGCCTTAGAGGCCACCCTGTGGAGAAGAAAATCTAAAATATAGGCTAGAATAAATGCCAGAGTCATGTTCTAAAGGGTCTCCTTTAGAGACTCTTATAATGAAATAGTTAAAAAAACAAAAGTATAATTAAAGCGGAGCAAATAAAAGTCCTTTTTCACACGATAGAATTAAAATACTATTGGAAAGATAAAGAACTAAAATCACACACAAAAAATATAACGAATATATTTTCATGTTATAGATGGCGACTGTCAGAATTATTCTGGACAATTGTGTCTGAATAAATATTCCAAACACTGACTCAACTTATGCAAGGCACAGCTTTCAGAATTAGAATCCTGCCAGGGTATACGAATGATTTGAATAGCAAGTAGTTGAATGGGGAGTGCTGCTTTTCATCATGGTCACTATTTGTAATTCTTAGGAAATCAATTCTTTCTAGAGATTATTGATTTTCTATCTGTAAAATGAATATAATACTACTTGGCATTCTTATAGGATTTTTCGAGGAGTAACAAAAAATATTGTAGCAGAAGTAAAGTTTCTAGAAGTTCTAGGAACAAGCTATTATATCGTACCTCTATTATCAAGGGAAATAATCCTAATATGTAAATAAAATTTCATTATAATGTAAAATATTATTAGAGAACAGTGTGTTTAATAACTTATTTCATGTTATTTAGAAACATTTTGGATTAAAGTCTAAGGAGCATTTCTGAAGAGACACCAAATACTTAATCAGATACTTTATTATCAGAAATAGCATCATTTTAACTTTATAATACTAAGTGCTAATAATTTCACAGAAAAGGTAGTTTGTATATTTCTTTAGAGTTTAAGAGAGAAAGAGACAGCTGAAGTGCAACAATAAAAATTCAGAATAGACAAAAAAGAGAGGATAAGAAAGATCACTTTGAGAGCTTGACTTTTCAGTTGGGATCTACTGTATTAAATAGAACTATCTACTGGTGGAAAGTTGCTTAAGTCCTCTCCCGGTGTATCCAAATATTGGTTATTTTAAAACAAAATAACTAAAAATCAAATTAACTTTGGACTGTTTTCATATATGTTTCCTTTGCTTAAAAAAATTTACCTATCAATTTTAGTAACTTTGCCCATGGTATATTCTAGTATAACCTAGAAATGCAAGGTCTTATTCATGGAAATACGGAGAATAGAGTATTAAAGAAAGAAAAGAAAGTCTCCATTGAAACCCATTTTTAAAGCATTCTACAAAACAAACTTCATATAGAAAAACACAATAATATTCTGTTTAATTTGAAAAGTCCCAAATATTCAATATTCAATATTATTATTTCATATTTGTAACACCAACAACTCTTTTTCATTAATTCCATTTGGGAGCATGGATTTTTTTGCTTGCTTTTTTGTTTTGCTTTGAGGTAGAAACAACCTAAAGCCATCTTTAAATTAACTGCCAGCTAGAAAGGCAAATTTATCAATTACAAAGACATGACCAACAACATAAGAAAATGCTATCAAGTTTTAAAGCAACTGGCTTCCAGACCCACTTTGACACAACATTTCATAACACACACAACCCAGATACTTCCTCACAGTGAGATGGATAACACATTTCCTATTTTCAAGACTAGGAACAGATGCTTGACTAGAAGGCAAACTGTTGAATTTTTTTGTTTTTGTTTTTTGGTGTGTTTTTTTTTTTTTTTTTTTTTTTGGTCACAGACTTTACTGAAGCAACTCTTAATTGTTAGTGAAATTAAAGTATGAATAAGAACAAATTTAAATTGTTGTTGGGGTACAGAGAATGCCGCCCCAAAGTAAAGTGCTTAGGCATGCTGAGAACTATTAAATTAAAGAAAACTGGAAGGTCTTAGAAGCTGCCTCAAATCAAAGACTTTTTAACCATTTTCTCTCCTCCCAAAGCACTCTCTCTGCAAGTTTCCTTGTCGAACTGAGGAAAACTTCCTCCAAAAGAAATGCAATTGTCTTACGATCCCCACCCTAGGAATTTCATGGGATAACCAAGATTAAACAGAGAAGAGACAAAGCCTTCACCACACCCAGACTTTTTATCTATTCTTTTGAGCAGCTCTGAAAGATTACCTAGGAGACCTTGCTTGCATAATAAGACAATCTTTGTTTGCAGTGCAGTTCTGCCCCTCACCTTCCCATGACTTGCCCATTGTGGCCAGTTTTCTAAGAGAACAATTTACAGACTAGTATCTTCTCCTTGGGCCCATTTATTTCTCCCGAAAATCATTTACTACCCCTCACAATTGCTTACATTCTTCATTTCCTTCTCCCTATGAATAGCCCATTTAAGCCTCAACCATCTGGCCCTTCTTTGAGTCTCATATTTTGTGGCTCCTGTGCTTATATTTACTTTAATAAATTTACATGTTTTTTATCCTGTTAATCTGTCTACTGTCGGTTAATAATAGCAGACTTCCTCTTTCAGAGGAAGAGGAAAAATCCTTCTTGCCCTTACACATTTGTCATACATACAACAGCTTTGGAGAACCCAAGTTCTCAATCACTGATGGCCAACTTTAGCTTTTCCTCATTAAGGATGAAAATGCAAGTAGCAACTTTATATTTCCCTCTTTATATATTTTCCTTCTCAAAATGCTCTGACAGATGCAGTATACCCCACTGACAAAATTATTCTTCTGACTTACATCATGTCACAGTTAAAATAAAAAGAAAACAGATGAAAGATAAGAGAAATAAATCACTAAGCTCTCCCTCAGAGCTTAGTGATTATTAGCTGTAGAGTAATAACATAGCTATCTGTTGCATTTGACCTAAACTTGGAGCTCATTCTTTGCTTAAGGAAATAATGGCACTGAAATATAGACTCACATTTGGACCCTAGGAAAGGCAGGGAAAAAAAAAAAAAGAAGAAAAGTGATGTTCTGAAAACAATGGAAGGTAAATAAAATTAGTAAGTGAAACATTTGAGACTATCACTTATGGAGAACTGCTCCATGCAAAGCCACCTTTCAAAAGCGAGTCAAATCATACTCTTTGCTTTTATGTGGTTACACAGGTGATGAGAAGAAAATGGGCAAAAGGAAAAGCTAAGGAAGAAGGGACTCAATAACTATTCTCACATAAGCTAATTGCATAATATTTAATATATGTGTTTGATAGCTGGTCAGTTTCTGGAAACTAAAGGTCTAAGAGTAGAATAAATAAGAAAATGCAGTTTAAAATACAAGATGCAGGACATGGCATACTAGGAGGAAAATTAATCAAAACAAAGGATACATGTATAACAAAGTACCACTTTGTCAATCTGTAAAGAGCACTACTCCTAGATGCTGCAAACCAGTAACAAGTATTTCCAGTCGTGGATCCCTACACACACACACACACTCTAAAGTGTTGCCTACTCCTTGGAGTATATTTTTGAGTATGTTACGTTACTACCAAGGATAATAATGCAGGAGTCTCTCATCTTATGTAAATGGCCATATAACAATTTCAGTTTGAAAAATTAGTTAATATGAAAGAAAATGGTGATGTAGTAATCTAGCATTGGAATTTCTTTAAATAATGGCATTTCTTGTGTAAGCCAGGTATAATCTAATTTATCACCCATTGGCCTATTGTTTAAAGCCAAGTCTATCATGTAAATCATTACATTAATTGCCAATATCTCCCTAGTTCAGGTTATGCTTATTTAAAAAAAATACATGGCAAATAAATAATCACACATCCTCTAAAACAGAGCATTTTTATTTCATGTTCACAAAGTCATCAAAGATCATGAAGAGATACCTCCTGGAAGGACGTCCTTTTTTGATACCTATTCCACTTTTACAATTCACTCAGCAGCCCCAATTACCTGAATATAAACAAGCAAATAAAAAACAATGGTAAACCCTTAATAAGTAATATTAAAGCAGCGAAGTTCAGGTAGTAAAAAATAGGCATATAACCCAAGACTATTCATGCTTACATTGCAGCCAATTTTTACCAATTCAATTATTTTAAGTACACAGTGAAGAAGAAAAAAAAAGCAAACTAGGAATGATGAAAAGGAATTCCATAGGTGAGTGGATGAAAATGAAAAAAAGAAAAGACCAGAAATAGTTAAAGAAAATTTTGGTAAAAAATTAAAAATAAAAATTAAAAAACTATTCCTGATAGGTCAAATTAGATGACAACCTGAAGCCATTTGATGAAATAACAAACAGCTCAAAACCCTCTAGTAGCTTCTGACAGTACTGGCTCTTCCAGAGGCTTGTAAAATAGTAATGTTTAAGATGAAGCCTCTGAAACACCAGAAACATTTAATCCATGTCTACTGTACCTGACAGACCAATCTAAGGCATTACATAGTATGCTTAAATATATTACCATCAAAGATCCTTCAGGTCTTTATTTCAGGTTTGATATATAAAAGCTATATTGAAAGTTCTCTTCCATGAAGGCCCGAAATTCTTTTTTAATTTTTTTTTTTATAAGAGATAGGGTCTTGCTCTGTCACCCAGGCTGGAGTGCAGTGGCTTAATCACAGCTCGCTGTAGGCTTGAACTTCTGGGCTCAAGTGATCAGCCTCTGAAGTAGCTGAGACTACAAGCATGCACCAGTACATCTGGCTAATTTTTAAAAACATTTTTGTAGAGATGGATAATTTTAAAAAAAGTTGTAGAGATGGGGTCTTGCTATGTTGCCCAGACTGGTCTCGAATTCCTGGCCTCAAGCAATCCTCCCACCTCAGCCTCCCAAAGTGCTGGGATTACAGGCATGAGCCATAGTGCCCCGCTCCAAAATTGTTAATACACCAAAAGAAGACATTTCTGTACTTTTGTTTTTGGTGATTACCAAAAGAGAGGAAAGGAAATTGCTAAATAAGGAAATCCCTGGTTACAAAAAACAACCAACAATTTTATTCACAAAATATTACAACAAACGTAATATCTTCATAATGTATCCTTTCCTCTGGATTATGTTTAAATAAAAATCAAGATTTGTATATGAATAGTGATCTCTCTCTTTTTAGTGGATGATATTTACTAAGCATAGAATCTACAAAATCATCTTCGACCAAAAAATAAATAACACAAAATCTACCAAAGTTGAATGTTATTATAACTGAACATAAATCTTTGATGGGCTTGTCTCAGATCATGTCTCATTATTTCAAAGTAGATGGAATACCCTAGGCTATAATGTTTAAACGTTTGCAATAAACCAAAGCTACATGTTTTGTAGAAGTAGACAGCACCAATACAATGGGCTCCTTAATAAGTCAACATTTCAGAATAATATCATTGGAAAACTGCCAAGTGTATTAGTTTGCTAGGGCTGACATAACATGATACCACAGACTGGGTGGCTTAAACAACAGATACTTAGTTTCTCACAGTTCTGGAGGCTGAAAGTCCAAGATCAAGGTATTGGCAAATTTATTTTTCCTGCGTGTCCTCACTTGGCTTTTCCTCTGTGTCTGCACATCCCTAGTGTTTCTGTGTCCAAATTTCTATTCGTATAAGGACATCAGTAAGATTAGATTAAGGAGAGATTAAGGAAAACCACCCTGATGGACTCATGTTAACTTAATCACCTTCTTAAATGCCCTGTCTGAAAACACAATCACATTCTGAGACACTGGGTGTTAGAACTTCAACATATGAATTTGGGGGTGGCCGGGTGTTAGGGTGTTAGAACTTTCTGGGTGGCCAGGCACAGTGGCTCATACTTGTAATCCTAGCACTTTGGGAGGCTGAGGCAGGTGGATCACCTGAGGTCAGGGGTTCAAGACCAGCCTGGCTAAAATAGTGAAACCCCATCTCTACCAAAAATACAACAATTAGCCGGGATGTGGCAGCACGGACTTGTAGTCCCAGCTACTTGGGAGGCTGAAGCAAGAGAATTGCTTGAACCTGGAAGGCAGAGGCTGCAGTGAGCAGAGATCACGCCACTGCACTCCAGCCTAGGTGACACAGTGAGATTCCCTCTCAAAAAAAAAAAAAAATTGGGGGGAGATAATTCAGCCCATAATACTCTGCCTTATACGGCCCGCCCCCAAACTCAAGTTCTTGTCACATGCAAAATCCATTCATCTCCAACTTAGTAACCCAAACTCATTCCATCATCAACTCCAAATGTCAAATCTCTAAATATCATCTGAATCAAGTGTGGTTGAGAACTGAAGTGTGATTCATCCTAAGGCAAAATCCTTGTCCCATCGCCAATCTGTGAAACCAGGTAAGTTATCTGCTTCCAAAATATAATGGTAGGATATGCATAAGACAGACATTCTCATTTCATGAGAGCCAAACAGGAAAGCAGAATATGATCATATAAAACAAGTCTGAAACACAGCAGAGAAAACACAATTCAATGTTAAGGATCACCCTCCTTGGTTTAATGCTGTATCCTCAGGGCCACCAGGTGGCAACCCTGCCTTCCAGCCCCTTGAGTTAGAAGCATTACCCTTGCAACACTGGAAAGCAGCCCAGTCCCCAAGGCCCTCAGAGGCAACCCGGACTGCTAAAGCCCAGAAGGAGACAGTCTCCACTTCCAAACTTGTGACCTCCAGGCTCATGTTGGCAGTGGCACCCCTGCTGATTTCCAAATCACCTTCTGGGTCATTCTGTCCTTTTCTTGAAAGATAACCCATGTTCACAGCTGGACAGCTCTATTGTCCCATCCTTTAGAATCCAAGAAATCTACCAGTCTTCCTTCATTTTGTCCCATCTCTGTAACCTTTAGTCCCAGGTAGCAGTGTTTCTGCTGGCACAGTGCATCTCTACTGTCCTCTGCTGAGATGGCTGATTGTATCCATGGGTTACACCCACAATCTCTTTAGCAAACGGTTGCTCAGCACCACCTTTGGTATGCTCTCCAGTACACATTTTCTCAATTTTTTGCAATATAGATAGGCTGAGAATTTTCCAAATCTTCATGTTCTGATTTTTGCTTATCAATTCCTCATTTATCTCTCTCCTTTCATATTTTACTTGTAAGCAGTAAGGAGAAACCAGACCACACTTTAAATACTTTTCTTGGACATCTTTTCAAACAAATATCTAAGTTTATATCACTCATAAATTGTACCTTCCACAAACCACTAGAAAACAAGTCAATCAAGTCCTTTGCCGTTTAACAACAAGGATCACCTGTCCTCCCACGTCCACTATGATGTTCCTCATTTCCATCTAAGTTGTCATCAGAAGCTCCTTTTATGTCCACGTTTCTAGCAACAGTCTCTTCAAGGCAATGCAGGTTTTATCTAGCATGTCTTAAAACTCTTTCTACCTATATCCCTCACTCAGTTCCAAAGCCACTCCGCATTTTTAGGTATTTGTTATAGCAGCATTGCACTTGTTAGTACTAAAATCTGTATGAGCAGGATTCTCCAGAGAACTAAAACTAACAGTCTGTGGGGTGTGTGTGTGTGTGTGTGTGTGTGTGTACAGAGAGAGAGAGAGACAGAGAGATTGATTTTAAGGAATTGGCTCATGTACTTGTGAAGGGCTAGATATGTCTAAAATCGCAAGGAAGATAGGCAGGCTGGGGATCCAGGGAAGAGCTTCACTCTGAGTCCAGAGGAAGTCAGCTGGCAGAATTCCTGCTTGCTCAAAGGAGGTGAGTTTTTGTTCCAACTGATTGGATGAGGTCCTTTCATATTATGAGGGGTAATCTGTACTCAGAGTCCACTGATTTAAATGTTAATCTCACCCAAAACCACACCTTCACAGAAACACCTAGAATAATGTCAGACCAAATAGCTGGGCCCTGAGTACCAGCCATATTGACACAAAGAACTAACCGTCATGCAATATCATCTCAATTTCATGAGGCATTCATCAGGAATGCTGTGACTCATTACAAGATCAGCAGCCATGGTTAGGTTCCAAAGACTGAGGATTTTTTCCTCGTAAGTAGAGTAACCAGACTAAAATTACTTAGGCTTTGAGCTCAGTAAAAATTATCTAGCAAATCTTAGTTATGCCTTAGTGACCTGGGGGGTTGGATAGTATGGCCTGGGATTCTGTCACTGTCTAGCCTGAGCCCTGTCCTGGGAGCCTTAAAACTGAGAATCCCATCTCACATGCAGTTAGTTGTATGACCCTGGGAAAGCCAGTTCTCATCTCCTAGCCTGGGTTTCCTTAATGGTTCAGAGGATGCATTAGAAGAAAAGGCTTCTTCTATTTCAAAAATACTAATATACGGAGTAGCCACTCCAAATAACTTTTCCTTAGGATGAAAATAGAAATGTGTGACACTTTTCATATGGGCAATAATGATACCTAATCCATGGGAAGCATGTACTCACTTTGCATTTTTTCCTAGTTAAGATAGACATATTATTTAATCATATTTCCTTACCTGGTTCCCTCGTGACAAATCATAGACAGTCTGGCTAGCACAGGCTTTGATCTCATGGACCAAACCAGTCAGACATAAGGATGAAAATAAAACCTAGTTAATAATAATTAAAAAATTATGACTTGACTCTAAGTTTCAATTTTTAAAGGTTCAAATCCTCCTAAGTGTCCTATGGAGTAGAAAAGATCGAAGATCATTTTAACATTTTTCAGAAGAAAAGGCTCAGACTGAACCCTTCCTTGGGCCCCTCTCCATCAGCATCGGTATTAGTATTGAACTTCATTGAGCTTAATGCCATCACTCTGGGCACCTTATTATGTGCTTAGAGGATGGATCCCATTAGACAGCATGTGTTGGATGAATTACTATTGCAAAGGGAATTTAGCCATACGTATGCATAACAGGAATTAGAACGTGCTTTCCTCACAAAGCCCCCCAAAATGGCATTTATATCTACTCATGCTAATTAGGAAATTACTGAAAATATTTCCCATATTTAAAACAGCAGCACTCCTCATTGATATGCCACTCTCTCCTTATATGGGAACCCTGATATGAATCAAAGCAGAATAATAATCCATAACTGTCAAAGGTAAATTACTGCCTAGAAAAAAAAGCAGTGTGACATTTAAAGCATTAGGAAATAGTCAGCTAGACCCCATGTGATCCGCAAGCTGCAGAAAAGCAAAGGTGTGATCTGTAGGAGGGGCCAGAACCTGGGAGTTCCTGTTCCACTCATACCTGCAACACTAGTGCAAACAATGGGGACCATCTGGAAGAAACATTCTTCGATCATCTCCCCTAGGTCTACCATGGTTTTACATATGTTATTTCATTTGATTCTTATGACAGATCTTAGGTTCCAATCATCTCCATTTTATAGATCAAGAAATTAACCTCAGGAAAATTAACACTTTGCTCAGGGTCTCACTGCTAGCAAAAGGGGGAACCAGGATTGACAAGCAGAGTCTGACTTCAAAACCTATGTTATTTTCACTGCCTCACACTGCTTGTGCTACTGGGGTACCGCGGGTATTTTGCCGAGTTGTGCCACGAAGCAGCAAGGTATATTAATACACTGGATATTCATAAAGCCTCTGGGATTTAAAATTACATAACACTTGTCTGTGCTTCAGTTTGCACCACCATATCATGGAATAATAATTACCAATCTAAAAATGTTATGGAGATTAAATGAGATACTCCGTATGTAGCACGTACTAAGGATATAAGCCAGGATTCTTCCTAACATTCTGGAATCTGAAAATATGAATACATTTAAGGGATATATATGCCAGTCATCTTGCCCATCTCGCAGAGATGTTATACTGACAGTATTCTAGAAACAAATATTAGCTGAGTCCTGCAGATGTAGGAACAATTATTACTGGTATGGTCTTCAGCAGCAGAATGAACTTGAGGCCAAATACTGAAGTAGATGGCATGGTCTTTAATTATGCCACCAACTACTGTCTTGCCTGTCCTGCTTTCTTTGTGTTCTGCTTCTAAAGGTTTGCCTCTCCTGAGTTCTTGGGTTCCTCCTACTGTAGGGGAGAGCGATCCAATGAAATTATATAAAGTATTATGCTAGTGAGTTAGAGTGTTGCTACCATACATCTCTGCCTCAGTAAAAATAAAACAATTTTTAAAAGAAAGCTATTTACTTAAGGCAAATATATTTATTAGTGTGTTAAAATATTGAGAACTGGAGTTAGAAATCCTGGGTTAGAATCTTGGCTCTGCTTGTTACATCAATATTGAATAATTTGTCTAGACTTTGTCATTCATTCTAAGTCCCTCCATTGAAGATGGTGATAACAATGCCATCTCCAAAGGGTTATTCTAAGCATCAAGCAAGAGATATGAAGTGCTTGGTATAGCGGCCGCAGATAGTATGCATTCAATTCATTTTAGATTTTATTGTTGGAATAAGATCCATGATATTAAGTCAAAGAGAGTCTTAAAGAGCACCAGGATCCTTTGCCCAAGTCATGCTATGTCTCGGTCTGTGAAATACCTATTTTACTTGGTATTTCCTCCTGGTATCTGCAATTTTCATAACATGTCAGTGGGAAGCCATGGAAGGGTCTTAGCAGAGGAGTGGTGTGACACTATTTACCTTCTAAGAAGATCACTTTCACATGAGGCAAATAATGGCCTTCAGTGGTGCCATGTGGGAGCGAGGAGACTGGTTAGGCATGGAGATAATAAAGGAAATAGGGATATATTAGAGGATAATAAGACATGCTGATAGATTGGTGTGGGGTGAGCAAAAGAGAAAATGAGAATAACTAAAGATTCTGGCTTGAGTAGCTGCCCAGCTGGCCCCAGTGGAAACCTAGACAGTGAGTATAGCCAACTCTAGGCTTTGGCTGCTTAGTAAAGGTTCTGACAAAAATACAATAGAGAGGTTATGTGGGGCTACTGTTGTTGTTTCTCTTTTCCCTTCTTAATTTTTTTCTTTGCTTCTTCCCCCTTAATGGGCTTTGGACAAGGAGCTTGGCATTGATTTCTTGGTGATTGAATATAAATAACGCTTAATTCACTACAGGCAGAGATAAGGGACCTCAGCCTTCCCTTAAGGGTCATCATCCAGATATGATTATGTTGTCAATTGAAAGTAGGTCTCTAGAGGCAGCCAATTGATCTGCCAGTTCAGAAGCCCCTCATCTCCTCACATTTGAATGCAGCACAAATTTCCTGCTTAGAATCTTCATTCCAGCAGCCCTGTGTTAACCACATTCTAAGCTTCTAATGTCAGAAAAGCAGCCTAAGTGACTGCCTAAAGAAAAAAATAATTAAAACATTTTTATCTGTTATTGAGACTCATCCTGAGTTAATATATTGATTCAACCATTGCTCTTGTAAATGGTATTTTAAAATCAATACCCTCTCGGCCCCATGGAGATTAGGGGTGGGTAGAAAAAAGCCCTTCAATTCCTTTGTGCCTTGACACTTATCTGTTATAATAAATTGAGAGATACAAATTCTTGGGTTGCTCCATTAGTAGAGAGTCCAGTTTTGGAGAAAGAACCATACTACTATGTAGAAGTGGTCAAACACATTAAAACGTTCTATGTCCTGAAATCAGTTTTTGCCTTTCAAGCTAAATTTCCTTAACTAAAGCCACCAAAATGAATGACCTAATCTATAGTATGCTTCAGGAAGACTTGCTTGCTAGCAATGTATGAAATATACAGAACATGACTGATCTCTCTCACACACACCTCCTGCTGGTGACTGCAAAGGTAAAAAGATAAACTATTCTGAACTATTTATGGCAAGTTAGATATGCAAATTCATAAAATTTGGTCACCATCAGTAGACAGCACTAGTTCATTTCAGATGTCACTGTGAACCAGGAAGGAAGAGTTTTTCAGAATCTAATTTGTCCACAATGCTTAGAGTAAATTCTGTATCACCCTGTGCTGTAACCATATAAATCTGAGGTTTGGAGGCCTGTCCACCAAGATTCAAAACTCCCAATGCCCAGAGTCTCTCTAATTCATGTGAGAATGAACAACAGCACCTCTTAAAAAAAAAATGGGGCCAGGTGCAGTGGCTCACGCCTGTAATCCCAGCACTTTGGGAGGCCCAGGCAGGTGGAGCACCTGAAGTCAAGAGTTCTAGACCAGCCTGGCCAACATGGTGAAACCTCCTCTCTACTAAAAATACAAAAATTAGCCGGGCGTGGTGGCAGGCGCCTGTAATCCCAGCTACTCGGGGGGCCACGGCAGGAGAATCGCTTGAATCCAGGAGGCAGAAGTTGCAGTGAGCTGAGATCGCGCTATCACTCTCCAGCCTGGGGGACGAGAGCAAGACTTCATCTCAAAAAAAAAAAAAAAAAAAAAAAAAAGATCTCTTTAATGACACACTGATATAAGTAATTGTAGTTACCTTGCAAATTATTCATTTTTAGATTTCTTAATATTTGATTTGATTTGTAGTCTCTAAGTTTCATGAGGTCAGCATCTGTGTCTGTTTCCTAGAACCTATTATTGAATCTAGACCAAAGTAAATACTTAAATGTTGGTCAAATTAATGAAATATTATTAACAGGCCTCATTTAGACAATAGATTTCAATTCACAGATCCATATAAGAGGATTTTCAGTGGTTCGTCAACTGTGGCAAAGTGACTAGAAAGTGTGGCAAAGTGACTTAAACAATTAGAAAAAGAGGAGTAGGAAGAGAGGGAGCTGGCAGAGCAGAGGAAGGAGGAGAGTTAGAACAACAATGTCAGCACGTAGGCTTCGGAGACAGACAGAAATGTGCCCAAATTTTGGCTCTAGTGCTTTTCAACTTAGTCAAGTTTATCAATAGTAATACCTAGCATTTTTTGTGTGCTTACTTTGTGTCAGATACTGCATAAAATGCTTTATGAGCATTACAGTCAGGAGGAAAAAGGACAAATCCATCCATAAGGGAACGATTTAGAAAATCATGGTAAATTAATAACAGGAAATATGATGTGGGTATTAAAAGGATTACTTCTGATCCATAGACCTGGAGAGATGTTCGCTATTCAGTCTAGCTACAAGAAATTTATATAGTTTGACCCTACTTCAAGAAAGTTCAAAGAGGAATATAAATTACATATCCAGGTACACACTATCTATCATCTATCTATCTATATATTTCTCTCACACTTCACATGCAATTTCAGGGAATCTTTTTGACTCTCTAATATATACCCACCGCCATACATAAATGTCTGGATAACTAAATCATCAGGCTGTTAGTGATCTTGAAAAGCAGAGGGTGTTGGAGAGTGGGATATTAAACACCAAAACAAACAAAAAACCCACCCAGTGAAAACTCCAGCATATTATAAAGTTAAATAAAAATAGAGAATATAAAACTCAATCCACATTGCAAAATCCAGTTATTAAATATGCATGTGGATACTAACAAGGTAACTTTTTAATGGAAACCATTAATTAACAAGATGATAGGATTTAGTCTTCAATGTCTTTTGTTTTAACCCTTTTTCAATTTTACACCTTTTAAGAGTAATCTCTACTTTACATCTGAACTCAAAGGTTGACAAAGATGTAACAGCGAGGGAAGCATTTAGAGAATTTATTCTAAAGTTCAATACTACAAAATACAGAAAGTCAATGGAAATGTTGTGTTAAGCATGTAGGGGCTGAAGACCTGGTACAAGTCTGTTCTATAAGGTGGGGTTTCTGTTTTGATTGTTTTGATTTTAGTTTTTTGTGGTCATTTTCTGTTTTCTTTTCTTTCTTTTCTGAGACAGGATCTTACTCCGCCACCAGGCTGGAGTGCAGTGGCATGATCATGGCTCACTGCAACCTCCACCTTTGTCATTTTATATTGCACTAATACACGCTGCCTTAGCTCTGATAAGAACAGGGATGACATTACAACTCTGCCTTCTGCTCTCTAAATTCTCTGCCTCATCAGATGGGCAGTCAGCACTTTATTCAATGTTAAAGGTCAATCCCCTCTTCTGGTAGGATATGTTTGTCCAATAAAATATGTGCTCAGCTTTATGTGTTAGAAAGCAAATAAAGTCAATTGGCTTCAACCAAGATTATATCATCCACAGAATCAACTAAAAGATTTTGCCACAGAGACACTTTGCTGGAACCTGTTAACATCTCAGGTTCTCAGTTCACAAACTGCAGATGTTTAGACACTCTTCTGCACCTCCACTTGGCATTTCTCCACTTGGAGATCTAATTGTCATCTTAAGCCATCCATATCCAGAAATGAACTTCTTATCCTCCACCTCCATCCAAACAGACTGTACCAAATTCTTCCTCATCTCAGTGAAGGGAAACTTTATCATTGTGGTAATCAGACCAAGGGTCTAGAGTTATTATTCCATATGAACAGTAACCATTCCTGATCTCCTTTATCTTGCCCGATTTGTTTGTCTCATAGCACTTATCATCTCTATAATTTGCTTAGCTATTATGTTTTTTCTATCCCATACTTGCTAGAATGTAAGCCTCAAAAGAACATAAACTTTTGTAAATTCTTATTGTAGATATATCCTAAAAACATAGAACAGACTCTCACATATAGCAATTAAAAAAAGTTGTTCAATAATGATTATTGTTTTGTTTTGCAATAACAAGTAGGAGTGAACAATGAAAAAACATATCATCTTCTCTTTCTGCCAGGAAAACTCATAAGGACTCCTCAGGAGCTCCACCAAGGAAAAAGGACCAAGTCATGTTAACACCAAGACAATCCTCAAAATCCAGTGTGAATTCTTAGTCTCACTGACAACTCTTACAATAAAACAAAGCCTTCCTTCAAGATAGACCAGATTGTATCATGGTTGTTTTGTTTAGTTTATAATTTAAGTTAGCAGACTTTTCATTTATGTATTAAGTGGCAATACATATATTACTGTTTATGACTTTAGCTTCTCTTTTCATTAGAGGTACAGTGTTTGGCAATGGAACCATATACTGTTAAGAGTAAATATAGGGGAATTTATGTTCTAGAAAGGTGATATGCTCAATATTATGTATCTCAATTACTAGTTTGCTACTGAAATACAACACAGTAAAATACTGGAGACTAAAATTATCTTGAATATATTTATGACACTTCACTGATAACTCAGAGTGATCTGTTAGGGACTGCCATTGGAAACACACAATAGAAGTAAGTCCATTAGTGGTGCATTCCAGAGAACAGAGCGCTAGATCACCACATTTTAAAGCACTTTTCTTTTACTATTTTCATTTTAGGTTCAGGGGCTATGTGTGCAGATTTGTTATATGGTTAAATTGTGTGTCACTGAGGCTTGGTGTACAAATGATGCCATCACCAAGGTAGTGAACATGGTACCTGATAGGTAGCCTTCCAACCTATGTTCTCTCCCTTCCCTGACCAAGCAGTCCCTCATGTCTATTGTTCCCATATGTATTCAATATTTAGCTCTCACTTATAAGTGAGGAAAAATGGTATTTTGTTTTCTATTCCTATATTAGTTCACTTAAAATGATGGCCTCCAGCTACATCCATGTTGTTGCACACAACATGATGTCATTCTTTTATACGGCTGTGTACTATTCCATGGTGTATATGCACCACATTTTCTTTATCCAGTTTACTGTTGATGGGCATCTTGGTTGATCCCATGCTGCTGCCATTGTGAACAGTGCTGCGATGAATACATGTGTACATGTCTTTTGGTAAAACAATCTATTTTCCTTTGGGTATATACACAATAGTGGGATTGCTGGGACAAATCTATTTTTAAGTTGAGAAACCTTTATATAGAGTACATTTTGTTAATAGAGGGCTCCACAGTCATGGGATTGACACTTTTGTCTCACTAATCAGATATGGAGATCAGGAATCTTGATTTCTGATTCCTTTGTTTTCCTTCTCTACCAGAAGAAAATTGCCTTCATAAGGAATCAAAGACTCCTAATGGCTAACGATTTATTAGAAATTCTGTGTAACTTTCTGCCTCAGGCTTGAGACATAGTAGGCTCACTTGTTCTATGTGTTTCCACACCACCAAATGGCAGGGATAAAGCTCTCCAAAGCCTGTATGAGCAAACTTTTAACAGTTAGAAAAGAAAAATGCTGCAATCCAGTACTGAAGATGTTTCTGTAAACTACGTTGATATTTCTGAACTCCAAAGACAAAATTTCTCTAAGTCTTTCATTCCAAAAACACATCATGTTCTCCAAAGACTTGCCCTTTATTTCACTCAGAAAATTTTCTAAAACCCTCTTCTACAATGCCTAGTTTGAAATGTAATTTAAATAAACTCAATAGCTAAGAATTAGGAGCTGCAGTGTAATTCAACTAATAGAGCCTAAAATCCCTAATGATCTAATTAAAAGCAGGTTAAAGAATGTTGTACTTGACTTTTTGCTTCCTCAGATACCTCACACTTGATCAAAAAGCATAGAATGTTTAATGTTATTAACACATTTCAATACCATCAGTTTCAGACTGATATTGAAAAGCATTTAAAATAAAACCCAAATTAAAGATCAGGACTCAATGCTGATTTCTCCTTATGAGACAGCTATATTTCTTTAAGTAAAGCATGGTCTTATGGTTGAAATTTTGTTCTCATAGGAATAAATAACTTTAGCACCAAGTCAGCAAGGGCTGGGGAAGCACAGCATTTTGAAGTAAGAGTCCTAGTGAGAATAGATATGTAAAGCTAAATTTGCTTATATGTTTTCATCTAGGATATTAATGTACAATGTCACAACCTTTTTATGAAGAAAAGTCATTTTTTCTATAAGCTGCTGAAGGAAAAAGTCTTTTCATATGTGTGCATCTAGCCTATGGAACTTTTGACATCAAGTTTAAAGGTTGCTTAGTTACCAACCTGAAAGAACAATGTCATCATCAATATTTAAAACCACTGTGTTGACTTTCTGATGTGGGCTCACATATTATTTTTTCAAATTGTGGAATACTCTAAATAAAAATTCAAAAAATTTTTGAAGAGGTAAACCCATCTGTGTTGATTAATCTGAAGTTTTATCTAATTTTGGAATAGAGATTCTGAATATTAAGATCTGTCAATATCTAATGACAATGGGAAGGAAGAGAATTGGTCAGTGCATGAATTATGAATCTGCACACAATTCTTTGCTTAAAATGAAATTATTGATTAATATAAGGCTTTCTCTTCATCTCCATTAGTGATATCAGCTCCCTAGCATGGGATTCAAAATCCATTCTATTTACTTTTATTTACCAATAATAATGCCTAAAGATTATCTTCCTATTTAACCAGTAGCTTTGAGAAAAAAATATAAATAGAAACTCAATAAGAGTGGTCATTTCTTTTGTTTGTTGTGATCACCAGCAAGCATTCATGACATTCTACATATTTTTTTTATAAGTTGCGCTATGTATCAAATATTACCACTGAGTGTTAACTAGTGGCTATTTGGTAAAAATCACAGAATAAAAATGCGATCTTAAGTTCAGGGGCCACGAGACTCTAGATGAATTTTGACGTTTCAGTTGATTTTTGTAAACATTTTTTTTTCCTTTCCATGTTACTTAGTAGCCACACATGATTGTCTTTGATTGGGTGTCAGAATAGCCTGTGCATGGATTCATGCAAATTTTCTCCACATACTAATTCAAGAATAATTCTTTCTTACAAAAATTAGCATAATCAGCAGTTGCATCTTCAAATAGTGAGCATCATAAAAATCATTCTGTGAAAAAAGAAACCAGAGGTTGATTTTCAATGATGTGATGCTGATTTTAAAACTATGCCAGTAAATATCCAAATGACATGTAATGAATAAGAAAGACCAAACAAAAAAAAAAGACAAAAGAGAAAAATAAAATACTATGAGTCTCAGCCTTATGGAAGCATTATTCAAACTAGAAGTTATTATGAGAAATGAAAAGGAAATTCTTAAACTAATCAAAGAGAAAAGGGCTACATTCTAAGGCTTGAACACGTTAAAATTCGGCCATGGAATAATTTCAAAATTAAATGAAATGACTCACAGAAAGCAGGCAAATGACCTTTAAAGCACAAAGAAAATTACCTAAGAAGATGAGAAGGAGTATCTTTTCAAGTACAGCACATCAGATAGACCAGAAGGACCTACAAGGGGGCTGCCTGGTAAATGTAATGGACAGATGATGCTAAACATTCAAATGAATGCACTGCTATAATGATCACAGAAGGAATAAGATGCAGAGAGAAGAACCTAAGTCTAGGAGCAAAGAAGGCTGGGGGAAGCAGAATGGAAATCAATATTAATGTTAGAATTGGTGATCAAAGCATCACAGTACAACGTCCAAGCCCTGGGCTGTGAAGCTTGAAAGAAATGGAAAAAAATATGTATGCAAAATCCTTCATTTATTTTCCAGCCTGAGCTTTGAGAAGAAAAATAAACAGGATTGAACTGCCATAGATGGTAAGCTGCCTTAATTTTCAGGAGAGGTCTGAAATGTCACTGGAGACTAATCTAGGACAGTAGCCTTTCAGAAGGCAGGGTACGAGATAAAGGAGGAAAACTTAGCTCTGAAATAAACGAAGGGAAGACACTTGTCATTGGCAGTGGTGAGAACAGCAGACGCTACTGCTCTGACCCTGGAGGTAAGGTTCAGAGTGTTGGCCAGAGAGTGTTCATGTTCTAAATCACAAAAGATACACATCTCCTTTGTCCTTATTGGCGTATCATATACAATACCATAAAATACTTCCCTGGGAAAATGCTGTGAAAGAGATTCATCAAATATTAGAGTCAGAAGAAAACTTTGTAAGAATTTTCATACATCTTTATAGCTAGATGAATGGACTAATACTCAAAGAGGGGAAGTGTCTAGTTGACCTCACAGCATAGCCAGGATTATAACTCGGGTGTTGGGAGTGGTATTTTGCCTATTCCAGTGTACTTGTGAAGGCCCATTGCCTAACTCAGTTCCCAGACTTTTGTTTGCAGTAGAGTCATCTGAAGGCTCATTTCTTAAAAGGCAACTGCAGAAATAATGGCCCTAACCCAACAGCAGAAGACAGTAAACAATCCTGAGCCAAAGAGAATTATTCCAGCTTGCACATAGCACAACTGCCTTAAATCCAGAGCGAGAGATGTTGTTAATTGAGATCTTTTTGTGTGCAATATACGATAGAGTCACTGATGACAAAAACACTGTCCTCAAAAGGCTTTCAATCTAGTAACTTCACTGTTTATTTCAGACCAAGAGCCTAGTGGGCACTCAGTAAGCATTAGTTGAAAATGATGGCACTAGCATCTGCCAGCTGGTGATTCACAGATGTTCCATAGTAGAAAAAAAATGATTCTACTCTGAGTTTAACACGGGTGGCAAACTTCCCACAGATGCACAGAACAGTAAAAGGGATGGGTCATTATGGTCATAAGTAAAGTCTTGATAGGATGAATCTATGCTGCAATTGTTTTTAAACTCAAAACAAAAAATTTGGATCCAAACCAATTTGTCCCCACCCCTTTGTTAAAACACAATGCAAAGCAGACAGACGGTTTTCAGGATGGGTAATTCTGGAAAAAGGTGTTGACATGTACCTCCCACCCCATTCTCTTCCCACAAGCCCATTGAGAGGAGCCAGTACTGGCAAAAACAGCTATAGTTGGGTTCCTTTGGGAAATCCCTGGGAAAGACTACAGGCACAAGATAAGCCTGAGGACTGTAGAAGGTGGGAGTTGACACACATCAAGTACACAAGAACAGAGAAGCCCAAAGTTCAAGTCCCCAGACAGAGCCAGCAACAGGCAAGCAGGTGGCAAGGCTCTGGGTGGCCGTGGTGGCTGTTTTTAGGTCCCCTTCTGGGCCTCCACTTGGCTACTGTGTAGGCATGCCTAACAAAAATGGACAGAATGTGGAGAAAAATGGATATTCAGCAGACACAGACCTGGCTCTCCTTCGGCCTTTATCCCTCTGTCTCATTGGGGTCCCCTCAATTTGACTGATACTGATAGTACCAAGTCTGGACTCCCAAATTCACCTCCTACTCCTTTAATACTTTTCTCCAAGTTCAAGGAAAAACAAAGCAAGTAAAACAAAACAGAGACACTCTTTCCCTTATCCCTGAGTATTTACTGCTATTCTCCTAAATACTGAAGGCCCAGATAAAGCCTCTGAGACCCATCCAGAGAGAACCACTGAAATCAACCCCCATTTCCTTTTCACAATGTACCCTCCCAGGATCTAAGTGATTTACATAATGAATGACCTCACTCACCTACTGACACTCAGATTACCAATGCCCCACCTAAGGGGATGTGCATGATTCACTCCTCTGCTGAGCCTCCTTTCCACCACTGTGAAGTGGATCAGTTCACTAAAGCCTTATAGAAAGTTTTATTAGTCAAGGGAATTTATTATCTTAGCTACTGCAACAACCAATGAAATCTCAATGGCCTCATGCAATGAGAGGTTATTTCCTGCTCACATACAGTTCTAAGCAGGTCAAGGGGGACCCTCTCCATCCAGAACTCAGGGATCCCCAATCCCGCCAGGCTGTGATGGTGCCAATCGCCACAGGGGGCCTCCAAGGTTGCTGAGGCAGAGAAAGCCCCACAGCTTCACCCTTATTGCAGGATAGGCCAGTAAAAATAGAGAAGTTTATGGAATATTTAAAGTGTTCAAACTCAACTACGATAGCAATTATAACTTACATATAATATTATATGTATATCATATACATCGTATCTCAAATGGTCTTTTTCTCATATTTCTACAGTCCACCTCTCAACAGTCGCTATCTCTATTTTGGGTGGTAGAAAGTATTATCTTCTGATGTTCTGCTGAGGTAACTACATAAGTTGGAAAATCATTAAAAACAAAAACAGTATCAAACAAAAAGGAACAATTCTTTTGTCTTTGCATATATGAAGGATCAGAAAATAGACATGGTTAAGAACTGTGGTAAACAACTAGGAAAACTGTGAGTAGAATATAAAGGGGAAAATTACAATTGGTAATATCTCTAATGAACACATTGCATGGATGTACATCTGGATATAACATCCTATAGTGCATGTGCACACTGCTATGGTGTGAATGTGTCCTCCAAAGGTCCTGTATTAGAAACTTGATCTCCAATTCAGTGGTGTTGGGAGGTAAACTTAATGGGAGGTGTTGGGGTCATGAAGGCACCGTCCTCATGAACAGATTAATGCTGTTATTCCAGGAGTGGGTTCCTTATGAGTTCAGCCTCCTCTTGTCCTCTTGCTTTCTTTGCCCTTCTGCCATGGGAGGACACAGCAAAAAAGGCCCTCACCAGATGCCAACCCCTTGAACTCAGAGCCAACAAATTTCTGTTAATAAATTAACACATTTCTGTCAATACATTAGCCAGGCTCACATATTCTGTTATAGCAACACAAAGACACACACATCTACACACACCCCATAAATAGCCAAAAATATCACTGTTATATTGTTAATTGTGTCCACATATGTTAGATTTTTACTTAATGCCTCAAAACAAATGGAATATAATAATGTAATCATCCTGGTGGTTTCAACCTTCTGCCATTCAGTTCCCTCAGTTGAGAACACTGACTTAACAAGGTGAATGATTAGATGTGCTTCACATAATTCTTGGAGCTGCAGGGGACTCGAGCTTGTAAAGTGAATTCTTTCAACATAAAAAATATATTAAGAATGTATCTTTTAATAATGGGTGTCAATTAATGTGCAGTGGATGAGAAAAAAGTGTGTGAGGGATTTGCTCACCATTCCACCTACCAAATACTTATTGGATGCATACCACGTGCCAGCCACTATTCTTAAAGCTGTGGATATGGCAGTGAATAAAGCTTACAAAAATTCCTGTCCTCATGGAACTTATCTTCTAGAGTAAATCTGAGTTCGCTAATTTGCAATAGCCTTTTTTAACTGTCTCTTTTCTTCAGTGCTGATATTCTCCCCTCCCCATCCTCTGGGACATCCCCAGATGACTTCCCTAGACCTGTTTCCAAATACTACACCATCTCTCATTTCTCCTGCATTGTCAACTGAGGTTGGCATCTTCCCTTGTAATTGAGGTCATTGGCTCATTTGCTTCTTGGAAGTTTTGTTATCTATTTTCAGTGTAATCACATTTAAAGAAACATTACACTCTACAATTGGCAACTTGAATATTATTTTCACATTCTATTTTACTTAGTTTACTGCTCAGACAGCCCAATAAGACCAACTCTGGTGTGCCTTTGTAACTTATTTTTGTTACTCCCACCTGGTGTCATTGACCACCTGTGGAAAATCCAACATTTGGATGAAACGCTTTCATCCCGGGATCTTTATTTTCCATCTATCATTCTTTCCCACTCTCTACTCACTACCCTTCATGTGAGGCCAAGTAACATATGGCAATGTCCAAGGTGAGAAGCTTGCATTCTTTATTCATCCTGGCAACTAAATACTTCTATGGTTTTAAGTAACTCACTTTTCCTCTTTTGAGCTTCAACAGGATTCTCCGTTCAGGGTTTCTGAACAAAGAGTATTTTCTCGCTTTAATTTTCCTTGGGGCTTTATGGTGATAGAAATGTCATGCACTATTTTATTTTTTTGCCCCCAGAATGGTCTCTATTTCCCATATCCCTTCTGATAAGTGTGCTATCATTCTTGTCAGTCTTGATTTCCCCTAAAAACACAAGGTTATAGTTCACCTGGTTGCTTACCAGGGCACTCAGCATCAAGATCAAAAGCCTCACATTTTTCTCAGTGTTTTTCTGAATAGGCTTTTTTTTTGTACCTTCCTCCCACTCCAACATTCATCTCAGGTTAAGACCACTTATCAAGTTTCTACTCATCCTGTCAACCCACTCACTTCTCCAGAAGTCACTCATCACACCATTATTGTGGCCTATTCTCCTAAACTGATGCTCACCAAACCTTCTCCTCTTGTGAGTAGAGGTTCCCCACCTATGCCCACATCCCCTACACAACTCTGCTTCACCATGACAGTTTTCCTACCTATGGGAATAATAAGTGTTCTTCTGATGAGATCTCCTTTTCTAAATATACAAATCAAGATTCTTTTGCCTTCTTACAATAGATTTGATCTTTCATTTCTACATAAGTAGCAACTTCATTTAAATATTATATACTTGTAGTCTGTGTCCCTTTCAGTTTGTTCTTGTCATCTTAACTTCTTAAAGATAGGAACTAAGAAAATTTAAGTTTTACCTGTCTAGTACTGATTCACAAAGAAAACACTGAGATATCTGCTTATTTTGTTTTGTTTAATTTATTTAGTCATTGCATGGTTGGCAATAAACCACAATAAGGCATCAATATATCTCAGTGTAATGGCAGCTTCCTCTTTTAATAACTCAATGGATCTTTAAACACTCACCAAACATCACATTCTATAATAGCCACCAGGCAAAAGATGTCTTTACCAGTATGCGTTTGTGTAATTCATTAAAGGAAACAAAGAAATGGTTGTGGTCTACTGCATCACAATAGCTTTGCTAGATCTTAGAATATTATTTTTCTTAACCATGAAGGAGGAAAAACAAAGAAAAAACACAAGGAAAAGCTAACAAGAGAAAGGTGTAAAGCAATAGAATCCACTATAGCAAAATTTAGATGCTTTTGCTATTTTTCTTTTGGTATTAATTTCTTTAAGGTCCACTGGGGAACTTGAGTTAATACAGAAAAAAATCTTTCATTTATTTTCTCCAATATTATACGTTGGTTTACAAGGTGTTATAATTCACTTTAATTATTAAAAAAACCTCACTGAATGCTTTGTTAAAGTATTGCTAGCTTCATGCAGTGTCTTCTATTTGCTGAGAGGAGGATGCACACTGCCTAATTCCTCAATTCTCTATTCCTGTGAAATATTTTAATCAAACCTTCTGTGACATAAGTAAGTCAATAGTGATATTCATTTGCTCAAGGAATCTCCTGGTATAGTTACTACTTGGATCTTAGGGGCTTGAAATAAATGTGAGATGAAAAGGTTGTTAGTGGCTAAACAGTTTCTGTCATCTTTAGCTGCAGAACAAGGTCACAGAATATTCCTTCTCAAGCAACAGCTCGGTATTGAGGGGAGGGGTTGAACAGACAGCAGTGATGGAGGAACTGGCCCCGGGGTACTAGAACTGAGAAGTCAGGTTTGAGTGCTGAGATCTCTAATAACTTGCTGTGTGAAGTTAAGACTAATAATTAAATCTCTTTGAGTTAGTTTTTATAGTTACAAAATGGGAACTCAACCCCAAACAGTTGATGCAATGCCTAAGTGACAAACACACAATACAAATGTAAGGCCTTGGAGGTGGTGTTCTCACCCAATGCTGCTAAGCTGTGCTTCACAAGTCAGTGCCATACCAACTCTGCTCATTCTTTTTATTTTATTTATTTATTTATTTATTTATTTATTTATTTATTTATTTATTTTGAGAAAGTCTTGCTCTGTTGCCCAGGCTGGAGTGCAGTGGTGTGATCTCAGCTCACTGCAGCCTCAATCTCCTGGGCTCAAGTGATCCTCCCACCTCAACCTCCCAAGTATGGGCCTAAAGGCATGTACCACCATGCCTAGGTAATTTTTTTTTTTTTTTTTTTTGCATTTTTTGTAGAGATAGGGTTTCACCATGTTACCCAAGCTAGTCTCAATCTCTTAGACTCAGGTGATCATCCCACCTCAGCCTCCCAAAGTGCTGAGATTACAGGCGTGAGTCAGCACACCTGGCCTATGCTCATTCTTTGCACTAAGTACACATGTGTACATCTTCCTTCCCCTGCTAGACCATAATCTCAATATCAGGATCCATGGCCAATTCCCCTAGGTCAACAAGGTGTCATGACCTGCAGAAGAGACGCAATAAATGTTTGTTATGTTAATGAATAAATTACCTAAGATTTTATGTTATGGCCTCAAAACCATATTTAAAAGAGGAGTCTTTCTCTAATGTCCCCAACACCATCCTGAGGTGCTTACAAGCCATTTCACACAGACCTACATTAGTACCTGCCTAAATGAACTGTAATTATTTAAATATACATTTGTCTCCTCAATTACTAGTTGTATTTATTTACTTTGTGTTCTTAGCTCCTGGCTGAATGTTTGTTCATAATTCTACTTAATATTCAGCTGGAAAGTCATTCAAAATCAAAATTAAAAAGTATGTATTGAGACCAGTGATTTGTCCAGCACTATGTTTACAACATCCTTCATCAATTGTACTCAAAAGGTGAGGAGTGGCTTAATAATTATGTAGCATACATTGAAGAAGGGCAAGAAGTTCCAGTGTCCTTTCCTTCATTCCCGTACAACCAAGAAAGGGCCTCTAACATATACCTAAAGCTGTATCATATTTTGATATTTGTTCCTCTCATAAGATACAAAAATTATGATCTATGTTAGGTGCAAATCCAATAATGAAGTCATGAGACCTGATTTTGAGCTGAAAACCTCATATTCGTCATTCAGGTCTTTCTGGGGAAATGTGTTGTAGTTTTCCTTAAATGCCCTTCTTTAGTCAAATGGAAATATTACATAGATTTATAATCTCTACCTTTTTTACTTCTCTGCAAAGTAATTGAGCAGTTGGTATTATCGTGCTCTGGAAAGGTAAATAAATTAAAGCACAGAGAGTATATTAAGTGAGTATTCCAAAGCAAAGAAAGTTATTAAATCAAGGCTATACGGTCCCTTTCCCCACAAACATAGACACTCAATATGGGCTGTCCCAGTAAATGATGACAATGTTTTTGGTAATCTATGGGCTCTTTAGCTTTGGATCTGAAGATACTATTTACTTCTATTTACTGATTACTCCCCATATGAAGAATACTAGGCTAAGAGCTTTCATGCATTATTCCATTTACTTTAACTTGGCAAGGCAATGCTATTAGGCAAATTATTACCCCCACTTTAAAATGAAGGAAATGAGACTCATAGAACATAAATGGGCTGTCTAAGCTTAAATCTATGTATTTGACTTCGAGTATTAACTAATAAGTATACTTCCTCCTGATAAGGAGAAGTTTTTACCTACACAGGTCTGATAAATGAATGCCGTTCATAAAACTTGCATTCTCTTTGATGAGAATAGGTTGATGCCTCCTGTTATATCACAAGAGTCCTGTTAGTGAGGAAGGTGCAATAATAGATTATTTCATATCAGCTACCACCCTCTCCAACTCCCACCTCCACATGGCACGAATATTTATTTTCTCTCTGCAGAGGCTTTGCTGGCCACTTTTCTCCTATTTCTAACTCCAATTAGCAAGGGCTCTCTTGTTTCCCAAGCACTCCCACACCCTCAGTTTTCTTCTAACTCACCTGGTAAGGCAGCAGGCTGAAGACAAGAATCTTAATTAAAAAGTCATCAGCATTGTCCCGTGGAAATCACACCTTCTTTGCCAGGAGGTGTTTTCAATGACACCATGTATTGCTATTCAGGAATGATGGCAAAATGTGACTGCAATCACTTTTCAAGATTAAATGTCCCAGAGCAATTTGCTGCAGCTGGCCAGGTGATAAAGTAGTTAGTGCTGGAAACCATTCCAAGTTGTGACATAACTTTAAAAAATAGAGAATTCTGTCCTCCACGTTTAAACATGAATGTAATAACTCAAGGAGACAGAGGACACAGACAATAACACTACCAACTTAGGGAAATCACGGCTTTCTATATTTGAGATAGCTAGGCACTGAATATTCAAATTTGACAACTCATTTCAACTCATACAATAGATAGCTGGGAACTGAATGTCCACATTTGACAACTAATTTCTCCTTTATAGGAAAAATCAGCACTGAAATCGAACTTTTACAACAATGCATTATTTTACCCAAAGTGAAGGATGATTTTGATTTTCTCAAAGAGTGCAGGCAAACAGAGAATCCTATAAAGTGGTAAAAGAGAGCTAGTGATCTCTGTCCTTGGGAGTGGTCAAAAGTACTTGCCTATCCCTGTTTATCTGTGTCTTCACGTGCACATGCTCTCAATAGTTATTCATTACTCTAATATAGGGCAATCCCTAAACGACCAACACATTACCGGGCTAAGTTAGTTTCAACTATTACATTCTGAATGCCATCTTGGTTTTGACATTGAGAAATTTATCTAATTCATAGTAAAAGCAGGTAAATATCTGCTTTAATAATTTTAAACTTTGTGTTATCCTTACGGAAAAAGTTGACACATTTCTCAATTTCTTTGAGAGAATCTTAAAGAATTCATAAAAGGATTGTTTATATATCCTTTTGATAAGATCACAGAATTTTAGATTTGGTAGGAAAAAATATCACATTGGTCATTGGTGATCTAATACTACTTCTCAAACAATCTCCCACTAAAAAGTGATCATCTAGCCATTTGGCGAAAGCTTTTCGTTATCAGAAACACACTCCATGATTACACAGCTCTTGTTGGAAGATAGTGCTTGGTAATCTTGAATGAGTTCTATTCCCTCCACCCTACCCCAACATCTGCCCAAAGGTCCTAGTTTTGCCCTAAAATAGATACTGGATGAGAACACATCTTCTCCCTTCACTATCTGAAAGTTCTTTAAATATTTGGAGACAGTTATTGATAGGTTACTCAAACAAGTCTGATTTTTTCTTCTTTTTTTTTTTTTTTTTTTGCCTGTCATAGTTTCATTATGGCATGGAAGGTTTCAAATATAAAGGTTCTGGATTAGTTTGAACATTAATGCTGCATATCTAAGAGGATGAATCCAAAAACCTCATGTACTGCAGCTGAATCTAAATTATCTTCTACCCTGCCTTCATAGCTTAATTTCTGCTTTCAAGCTGTCAATCCACTCCCACTTTGAAACCAGCTAATTTGGTGTGTCCACACACTTCCCACTTCCTCATCTTCCCAGAGCACAGTTCCATGATGAATTCAGCATTGAGGAAAGAACAGGTAACCTCAGCTGGGTTCTCAGGAAAGGACATTAGAAATTACAAACTATCCATCCAGTGCTCAAAGACAACTGGCACTTGAGTTATGGGCATGTTTTAAGGAATTCGTCTTAAGAAAAAACTGTGAGGGAGTACGAATTTCTGAACTTACACACTCAAAACCTGCTTGTCTGAGAAAGCGTCACAAGGTATCACAAATGTTTTCACCCACTAATTTTATAGTTATTTCCATGACCTGGAATTTCACCCCTTGTCAAAGAGTCTCTAGGAGACAGCATCCTAGACTTTAATCATTTTTATTCCAAGAAAAAGTAAAATTAAGTTGCAGCAAGTGGTACAATTTTCCCATTTTCTCCTCACTTCTTGCAGAAAGAAATTCCAAAAATATGCTACGTAATACAACCATGCTCAAAGAAACACAATCCACCATTGGCCTATACTGCACTTGGGAGCATGCAGTTGTGCTGTCTAGAAAAGTCCTATGAGGCAGAGATTGTTTTTATTTCAATATATGTGAATACCAACCTCTCTTTTTATATGATCAATGAAATTCTCATTACATAAAATATGAAAAAATCTGTAAATTATGATGGCAAATACAGGACTGTTGAAATCCAAACTTTTCTCATTTTCAACTAAAAATTGAATTTCCATTTTTGAATGGCGTCCATGAGAAATAGTCTCATGGGATAATAGAAATGACTTTTTTAAGGAAATAACACCATCTTGTGGGCATTTAGGACTCTAAAGCTCAGTACCATTTCCAATGTGTTGCATTTTTACAATCTGATTAAAAAAGCACTGGCTTGAATGTAAAGTTTTATGAATTAGATAATGCAGAAGGATGCAAAGACAAATTATATATAAATCCTACTTCCTGGACACTCAAATCCAAGGTTAGGCACACACATGCATACACAGGTATCTAATAAGAAAAAAAGTGCTGATACAGAACATAAGGTTTTAGTTATGTTCAAGAGACAGTGAGAGATGAATTCTGACTGTAAGAATCTGGGAAGTCTTGGAGCAGGTGATATTAGTACTGGACCTTGACATCTTTATTAGACTTCGGTAACTCCTTGTGAAGAGGAAGATTATTCCCAACATTATGATCAGCATGAGGAAAAAGCATGAAGGTAGGAGTATCAGTTTCATCCTGCTGCTGTAACAAATCATCTACTACAAGCTTGGTGCCTTACAACACAAATTCGTCATCTTATAGTTCTGAAGGTTAAAAGTCTAATACAGGCATCACTGGGCAAAATCAGTTGTCAGCAGCCTGTGTTCCTTTTTGGATACTATAGGAAAATAACCCTATTTCCTTGCCTTTTCCAGGTTCTAGAAGCTGCCCACACACCTTGGCTCATGGTCCCTTCCTCCACCTTCAAAATGAGCAATGGTGGATGGAGTTCTCTGCATTGTCTTCTACGATAACATCCCCCTCTAACTCCTCTCCTCTGCTTTCCTCTTTCACTTTTAAGGACCCCTGGGATTGCACTGGGCCCACCTGAGAAATCCAGATCCTCTTCCTATTTTAAGGTCAGCTGAGTAGCAACTTCAAGTCCATCTAACCTAACATATTCACAGGTTTCAGGGATTAGGATATCTCTGGGAGACCATTATTCTGCTTATAACAGTGGAAGAAGACAATATTAAGAGAATGATGAGTAGATTGAGTTTCACATAAAGAAACAAAGACACATGAAAAGGATATAAGGAGGGATACAACTGAAAAGAAAAGGATTGAGACTTATGTGGCTTTTGAGCATACAATATTTTTTTGAGGTTGGGTCTTGCTCTGTTGCCCAGGCTGGAGTGCAGGGGCATAATCTGGGCTCACTGTGCCTTGGCTTACTGTGATTGAGACTTATGTGGCTTTTGAGCATACAATATTCTTTTGAGGTTGGGTCTTGCTCTGTTGCCCAGGCTGGAGTGCAGGGGCATAATCTTGGCTCACTGTGCCTTGACATGCCAGGCACATGTGGTCTTCCCACCTCAGCCTTCCAAGTAGCTGGGACTACAGGTGCATGCCACCACAACTGGCTAATTTTTTGTACTTTTTGCATAGACAGTGTTTTGCCACGTTGCCCATGCTGGTCTGGAACCCCAGGACTCAAACAATCTGCCCAGCTCTGCCTCCCAAAGTGTTAGGATTACAGGCATGAGCCACCGCGCCCAGCCAAGAAATATTATTTGACCTTGTCATAAAGAATATAATCCTGGCAGTGATATGTATGGTAGACTGGAGGAGATATCTACCCAAGGTGGGAAACCAAGTAGAAAACCATCACTATCCAGGTGGTGACAGATAAGTGCCAGAACTCATATGGGGATTGCATGAAGGAAGTGGCAGACATGAAAATCACTGTAAAGGCAGAACAGAGAAGGCTCTGAATGTTATCAGGTTTCTGGAGGGGGAAGAAGAGGATTTCAAAATCACTCATATTTCAAATGTGTGAAAAAAATGTTATGCTGTTATGTGTGGGAACACAGTAGCCCATGACTTGGGAGATGGCCAGGGTTAGGGATAAAAGTAGATTTACTTAAAGCTACATGAGTCAATAAAATGGGCCAGAAAGGCTAGATGAAATATAAAAATAAGCAGGTTAGAATTGACCTTCAAAGATTGCCTCCCATTTAAAAGTTGAAGAAAAAAAGGAAACAGAGGAAAAAGGCTAAGAGAGAATCAAGATTAGGAACAAGAAAGCTTAAGGAAAGAAAAAAGAAAAACTAGTGAAAAATGAAAGCTGCACATAGGCTGAGCAGTCAGCAAAGATGACTTACAATCCCAGAAAATTACAAATAACCTGGGCACTCAAGTGTTGGTGTAATTCAGCTTTCTCAAGGTTCTTCTCCAGGTGATGATAATACCACATATAGCAAATAAGTACACAGGTTTGAAACTATTGGCAAGAGAATCATTAGTCAACTGTTTTCTTTTTTATTATTATTATTATTCTTTGAGAGGGAGTCTCACTCTTGTCGCCCAGGCTGGAATGCAGTTGCGCAATCTTGGCTCACAGCAACCTCCGCCTCCCAGGTTCAAGCTATTCTCCTGTTTCAGCCTCCTGAGTAACTAGGATTACAGGTACCTACCACCATACCCGGCTAATTTTTGTGCTTTTAGTAGAGATGGGGTTTCGCCATGTTGGCCAGGCTGGTCTCGAACTCCTGACCTCAGGTGATCCACTCACCTTGGCCTCCCAAAGTGCTGGGATTACAGGCGTGAGCTACTGCGCCTGGCCGACTGTTTTCTAATACATAAGTACCTGTATAAGATTAGAAATCTGCAAGTTACTATGGGCAGGTTGTCACCAAAGCATAATAGAAAACCAACTTTTATTGCACATTTTCTACCGCCCACTTTTTAAGCACTTTACATTTAGCTAAAAAAGCAAATGGTTTCAGAGTATATATAATATCCAGGCACTACTCTACATGCTGTGAATGTAGCAATAACCAAACAGACAAAATTGTTGTCATTTTTTTTTTTTTTTCTGAGACAGGTTATTGCTCTGTTGCCCAGGCTGGAGTGCAGTGCAGTGTCACAATCAGAGCTCACTGCAGCTTCCAACTCTTGGGTTCAAGTGATCCGAATACCTCAGCCTCTCAAGTAGCTGGGACGGCAGGTGTGTGCCACCACACCTGGCTAGCTTTTTTTTTTTTTTTTTGATAGAGATAGGGTCTTGCTTTGTTCAAAAATGTCTTTATGAAGCTTGCATTCTAGTGGATTTAATTCAAACAATAGTATTATAAAGCAAGTCTTATCATTTTAGATGAAACAGGTATCATTGACTTCTGTAAGATCACATAGCACTAAGAAGTGGAGCGGAAGGGGCAAACTCAGGTAGCCTGGCTTCAGAAAAACCTTGGCAGGTACTGCCTTTCACAACGTAATCCCTACCCAGTTTGAAAAAGTGGTCAATAACAGACTGTTTAAAACTGTCGTATTTCCATATTAGCTCTAGAGACTTCAAATTTGCATAAATGCTTCTGTTTGTCTTATCTCTCTCGTAACTAATTTTTCAAAAGTCTGATAGCTACACCAGTAAAGGGAACAGATACTGGGATACAGCACTAGGCAGAGAGGAGAGGGTGTGCTCTGTGGGCAGGGATGGGACATGATTTTAGTTTGTGGGAACCCATCCAAGGCTGCAACAGACACAAATCCAATTGGAAATGCTTCTAATAACTATGCACGTTATAGTCCTGCCAGAAAGGAAACACTTGTCAAGAATACAGACTCAGCCTCTATCCAATCCAAAGAGGGATGGGAAGGATTACATAAGAGTGTGGTGTTCCAGAGAAGATCCCATGTCTTAAGAAAACAACATGAAAAACAATCTACTTTTAGCTATGTGCCCGAGATGGTTATACCTTTGTAAGGAGAGATCAAGAAACTCAGTTGCTGTCTTAACTTAAATTGGGGGATGGAGATATGAGACCAACCCCCCTTATAAATTCTGGAGTCTTTGATTACACCCATCAATAGGGCAGTGACTTTGGCAAGAACGAAGTAATTTGCTCTTACTCCTTTGGGTCCATAACTCACCCATGCTGGGAAAGAGATCCCATTTTCCTTGATATGACTTTCTTTTTTCTCCTATCAGGTGAAAATGTTATTTAATCCCAGGGAAATTTAGAATAAAGTACAGAAATAATGAAGTAAATTAGTCCCATAATATTATTATTGTTAGAGTTAAGAATATTTTGATGATCACTGGTATTGTAATTATACCATTAGTGCTGTTTAAAGAGAATTCAGCAGAGTATCTAAGATATCATCTCTATGATTCAAGTTTAAAATGATGCATAATAACCTTTAAAACTAATTTCAAGTTGGTAGCAGTGAGAATTTTTCTAAATTCTTAAATAATATTGTAACACACAGAAGAATTAAGATCTACCATATTTATAAATTATGAGATTGACGAGTGTTATTTAAGCACGTGGGTAAGTCTATTTGTTAGACAATTTTAGTAGTTAAAGAGAAAATAGAATATATTAAATTTATAAGTGCAGTTTAAAATATTTGAGCAATTTAATTAACTAGGTTGTTAAAAAAAAACCTTTAAAAGAGATTGCTAAATTTGCTAGATTTAGTAAAAGAATAATTAGATTTGTAAATTGAATTTAAGGGCTTGAGAGAAAACTGGGTTTTTGAATTTGTAATTTTAATAAATTGAATACTAATATTCAAAATGAAAATAACCCTTAAATAATCTTTTCTAAGCACTAGAGCAAGTTTTAAGGACACCAAAAAGCTCACAGATACCATGAAACTTTCCAGGGTGTCAGTTTCCTCATCTATTAGGAAAGGCCTGAACTGAAGAACCTCTAAAACCCCTTCCAGTTCTAAACATCTGAAGGTTGTGCCTGAACTGCTAAGCAGTTTGTTATTATAGTTTATTCAATGTTGGTCATATTTTCAGTCTTTTATATATGGCAACCAGGTCTAATTTCAATTCTTATCACAGATCCACAGTTATGATCTTAAGCAAGTTATTTCCCAAGCACTGTTATCTGCCCTCTCCTTACTGTCACCTGCCCTGTCCTGGAGAAGCAGAGTCCCCAGCAGTGGCTCACTGGGGTGCTGTGAGCGCAAATGAAGTGGTGTTTATAAACTGCATTCCCACAAGATGTGCTTTTAACAATTTTCTGTTATTGTTCCCTCCTACAATGCTAAAAGGTATGTATGAACAATATTCAAAGGGTGGGATAGATGCACATCTTCTCCAGCTGGAATGGAATTGCTATTATTATGTGTTATGGGATCCATTAATGATCCTGTATATTGGATTTTTTTCACCCTCTCCAGGTGATGAATGGGCTCTCCACCACCAAACACAGCTCCACTTTACTTCTGATCATGGACCCTTTCCAAGTGCAACCTGAGTATTCCTTTTTTCACACGCGTGTAGCATAGAAGTAAGAGATTCCGAACATAAGCAATGTAGACACGTAAGATATAAAGCCAGATAGGGAGTTCAAGCATAAAAAGGCCCCCAGCTCATCAACAGAAACAATGGATATGAACTTTTCAACAAATAAACTTCATCAAATGTCCGTTCCCTAACCAACTCACCCATCACCGTTCCTGGGAAAGACTATGAGCTCTGTAACTTTCTGCTAACTACCCAGGTAGCTAACATCCCGCATCAGCAATATTGGAGCCTTCCTTTAGGAGTTTATGTCCACAGAGCCACCAGATTTTATACTCAAAACATAGTGTCAAGTACAACAATCCCTAGAACAATGAAATCTTCTTCATTTGCCTAAATGCAAACATGAAATAACAAAAAGGTAAAAGCTCTGTTCAATAAGGAGAATCGCCCTGATCACATGCCCTGTTTTGTTTTCCAAATAGACCACTGGATGGAGGAAGTTAGAAAAACATAAATAGAGTAATTCACTGTTGCTGATGGTGAGGACAAATGAGCTTTCTAAATGTGCTGAAGGTCAGGGTGATTGAAATTAGCCTGAAGGGCATATGCCCAGAACACAGCAAGGAAGAAAAACAAAACAAACAAACAAACAAAAAAACCAGCCAGATAGAGATAGATAAGGAAAATTGTCTCCAACATGCGTGCAAAGGCTTCAAGCAGCTTGCAGATCTTTAAAGAACTCTGCATCATGCTCTAAACAAAAGGAGTAAAAGATGTAGGAGTGATAAATAAAACATGCTTTCAAAAATCAATGAATAAAAATTAATTGGCATTGTGGTTTAGCACTGTAGCTATTGCATTTCCTTGGTTTAAACTTTACCTTACCCAGGGGATTTCGAATAATTTGATGAAGCCATGTGTATTTCAGAGGTTTTGTGGTCCTGGTGTAATTTCCAGTTAACAAGTTCAGGCTTTACATTTTATGTTGCAGCATCTGGAATATTTCCTGATGTGCAGTTTGTTCTAACCTACATTTCCATGAGGATTCCTGAGTTGGCTCCACTCTGCTGTCTCTCAAGCTGTCAAGAAAGCCTCCCTGGGGAGATTATAACCTCTTCTAGGGAAAGCAAGCCTCAGGAATGTTTTGAACACTGAATGCTGCCCCCCTACCCCCATTCTCAGCAAGCAAGCAGCAGAGCTAATATCTGGCATCACACTGCCCAGTTAAGAGGCCTTTAATTTTTCTGGGAGTAAATAGAAAGTGATCATTCAAGTTGGTACATTTGGAGTTTGCGTATGTAAAAGTAAGCTTATTGTTTCCCTTCACTCCAAACTTCCAAATCATTTAGAGACTGGCTCTTTTGCTCAGGTGGGCTGGCTGACACTCACTAATTGCTCTAGTCACTTTCAGTGATGATGAATCGTGGAGCCGAATCCGGCAAGGTTAGACCCCTCCAGTTTAGTTACACTTGTCTAAAGGCCACAGCAGGTCTAAAAATACCTAATGAGCCATGTTCATGCAAATGTTTTTCAGTTATAGGATTGTCCAATGGCATAAAATCAAGCTAAAAATATATGCGACAATATGTTAGAAATCAAAACACAAGGCTCATTAGTGAAACAGAAAGGGCCCAAGTTTGAAATAAGATGCTTTCCCATTTGACAATACAAGTTGACTCCACCATCCTCCATAATGAAGTATGATTTAAAAACAAACAAACATTTCCTTCACCTAATCTGATGAATAATGCATTGGTGATGGTGACAGGTTTATAAAGAATGTGCTAGAAATTGCAGAGGCTATGAATCTTCTTAATTCTTCCCTGTCTAATACATGCCATGACCTTCAGCTTTGTGATTTGAACACTTGGCCTCAAATGTCAAAAGGCTTGTGCAGCCTGCCCAGCAAATTCAGCTATGTGTGATTGGATTCAACACCAATTCCAGGATTAATGTGTGTTCAACAAGCAGTTATACTTCAATAACATTTCACCATGAAAGAAAAATGGGGCCAAAAATTTTAAAATTGAAATGTTATTAGCCTGCTTTTCCTTGTTATTGGCAACAATATCATTTCCAGTTACAGGTTTGGGATGGCTGCCTGAAATTCTCCACCCTCACCTAACTGACCAAGCCACCCCAAATGAGTAAATGCAAAAGTCTTTTGCCTGCCCTAAGGAAACAAATGGTGTTAATCCTTAAGGAGCCAGAATTATTTATGCAGTCAGATCAATTAGCCTGTCCAGTAATCCCCTTCTTCCCCTCATACCACAAAAGAGCCAGGAAAAAGAAAAATACATCAATCAATGACTTCAATGGAGATAACCAACCAGCTCATGGACATTCTGAAATGTCTTCCCCATACATGTGTGGGAGTGGAGGTCAAGGGAGAAATAAAGGAGGCACAAAAAACAGAGAGGAGAAAAGTTGTTTTTATACTTAGATAATTAAAATGCCACTGCATCCACTACAGAGCTGATCAACTCATAAACCCCACAATGTCTTGGTCTTTATAGGATGCTCCATGCTTTATTGCCAATTTCAAGACGTCTTCGAAGAAAATTGTTTACCAGCCTTTCATGAGATTCTTGGATCATTTTGGATTGTGTAGAAATTTTGATAATAAGAAACAACAGGAAAACCCAGTAAAATCTGAGGCTTGCATAAGGCACAATGGCCTTAAAAAGGTTACTTGCATGGTTTTTGTTTCATTGATATCCACTCGGAGCACCTCTCTGGCCCTGAATGTGTACCAACCACTTCCAGTATCCCTGGGCTGTGCTCTCGGCACACCTCTTTTCATCCAGCTAGAAGTGTCTCATTATTTTTAATCAGCTTCTTTGTTTTCCTTAGTGGCAAGAGTGAGGGCTTTCTTTTCTCTTGCTTTCCTTTAGATGCTATTAATTAAAGATTCTTTGTTGAAGGGAAAAGGGACGGAATCTCATGGCCAACAAGTCAGTGCTAGTGGCCTCAGGAAATGGGAGCACTATTGCAACTACCAGTCATGGTGAGCCTCAGCAACAAGCAACTGTCAGGGTCAAGAACCACCATTAACAGTCCCCTCTGTAGAGCCTGTCCTAATGATTATTTGTACTAAATTAAAGAACTTATGATTGGGTTCATTACAAGGTAGGGAAAGGTACTGGGAGGCATTTCTGTGCCAGAAAACAGTCTGCCTATGAGGGAAGTGAATTCCCTCCTCTCTACAATGAGGAGCTTGCCCTGGGCAACCTCTAAGGTCCTGCTCTAACATTCTGTTCCGAAAGAGCGAGGATTCTTCAGCAACCATGTTACTATGGTGCAGAGCAGGCAGCAGTGCTCTCCAGTAATCACCATAAGGATAGACTCTCAGTCCACTACAGAGCTGATCAACTAATAAACTCCACAAGGCCTTGGTCTCTATAGGATGTTACATGCTTTACCTCAACTTTGAAGAGGTCTTCGAAAAAATTGTTTGCCAGCCTTTCATGAGATTCTTGGATCATTTGGGATTGTGTAGAAATTCCAAGACCACTGTGCTATTTTAATAAGCTCTTTTATTAAAAAATAACCATTGAGCCCTTACTGTGTGGACATTGGGATAACCACTGGGAACATGAGGGAAAGTAAGATCTAGTGTCCTCGAGCAGATGCTTCCCATTGGGTTCCCAAGGGACTCAGTAAATAAGTGTCTTGGAAACTTACAAAGCAGCAGAGAACTTCCCTCAGTCATGTCCCTTTCTTATAGATTTGGGGCATTAGGGCACAATTCAAATACTTCCCCAACTCACCCAATTAGAACCATTCTCCATATTTCTGCCTCCAGGTAGCACCCACATCAAAGACAAGAACATATTCCAAACAGCTTGAATGATTCATGACAAGGTAAACACTTGGTTTTATCACAGTGGAACTTGGTAAGTTATCAGTACCTATCATAACCATAACACACCTTCAAACTTGCTACCTTAAGAATGATAAATGGTATAAGAATTTGTGGTAGTTGTAGACAGTTAGACCCTGGTCATTGTCATTCTGTTGAGATGGAGCAGAAAGCATGATACAGGGTAAGGAATCAAAATTTAAAGTTTACATCTTTAAACTAGGAGAGCCTCTAGTCTGACACTTGAAAACAACTTTGAAACATCATGACACCAAAGAATCTTTCCAATTATGTTTGAAATCAGGAAATGTCAATTAAATTTTATTTTGTTTTAATGTTAAGCAAATGACATAAAAAAAGAAAGAGAAGAATTAAGTGTCTATTATATACCAGTCATTTTACAGGCTATTTGATTTCATTTTCAAATCAACCCTAATTAACGGCAGGTATTATTATCCCTTTAACAGAGAAGGAAAATGAAGTCAAGTTGGAGGCAATAAGAAACTTGCTCAAGGACATACAATAAATTTGAGTGAAAACTCAAAACCTCGAGAAAATGCACCACAAGTAACATAGGTAGAGGCATTTCATGCATCATATAGATTACAGCTGCTAAGTTAAAAGGGAGATGCATGTTTAGTGCATGTGATCTTGTAACTCCTCCAAAAACAGTCCAATATCCATCGTATAATGCATGTTTACTATTGCCCTTTCCTAACAAGCCAAAGAACTTCACTAAGGAATGCAGCGTTAAGGCCCAGATTCCCATGTAATGCAGTGAGGCACTATTAGATTTAACAACTCTTGACTTCTAACAAATATGCTGACAGATGAGGTCAATTACATCAATAACTTCTCCAATTGTCCATTATGGTCAAGTGGATCTTGACTCACCTAATACGTTTGTACTTTTAGGCAAAGTGACGCTTTGACAAGTCACACTGAAATCAAATATTTCTGGGAGATCCCTACCCCTCAGTTCTCGCAATGCTTTAAGGTCATGGAGCCCAATGTTAGGTAGAAGTGAAAATCTGCAAATGAATGCTAAACTGCTCAGGCATCCACAAAAAGGAGCTAATTGTATCCAAACTTATAATTGGGGCTTGTTGTGACCTTCAGCAGTGGATCTCAAAGTGTGGTACCTTAATCAGCAGCATCAGCATCACCCAGAAATGTAAAATCTTAGCTCCATTCCTAACCTATCAGAAATTCTGGGGGTAGGAGCCAGCAATCTGTGTTTTAACAAGCCCTCCAGGTGATTTTAACACACATTCAAATTTGACAACCACTAGCCAAAAGAGAACAATGGTTTAGTAATCCGGATTGGAAATATTAGAGGAAGAATCAGAAATGCCATTAAATTATAATGCCAGGTAATGTTCTAATGAAACTCTTTCCAGAGAATCAGAAATGCATTTACCTCTTTTAATAAATGGATTCTCCTCCTTAAAAATTATCTGAATTAGGCAGGCCAAGTAGGTCTAACTTAACTGCTAGGAAGTAGAATCCCTATACATCTGTTTGTTTTGTATATTTGTTTCAAAACTGCCACCCTGCACTTTTTACAAGGGATATGGTTTGGCTGTGTCCCTACCCAAATCTCATCTTGAATTATAGCTCCCATAATTCTCATGTGTTGTGGGAGGGCCCCAGCAGGACATAATTGAATCCTGGGGTAGTTTTCCCCATATTGTTCTTGTGGTAGTGAGTAAGTCTCATGAGATCTGATGGTCGCCTTTCACTTGGTTCTTATTCTCTCTTGCCTACCACCATGTAAGATGTGCCTTTTGCCTTCTGCCATGATTGTGAGGCCTCCTCAGCCACATGGAATGGTGAGTCCATTACAGCTCTTTGTTTTTTTTTGTTTTTTTTTTTAATAGATTACCCAGTCTCAGGTATGTTTTTATCAGCAGCATAAAAAGAGATGAATACAACAAGATATTAGAATATCCATTCCTACCTTTGGCCTGGTGTGGTGGTTCATGCCTGTAATCCCAGCACTTTGGGAGGCGGAGGTGGACGGATCACCTGAGATCAGGAGTTCAAGACCAACCTGGCCAATATGGCAAAACCCCGTCTCTACTAAGAATACAGAAGTTAGCCAGGCGTGGTGTTGTTTGCCTGTAATCCCAGCTACTTGGGAGGCTGAGGCATGAGAATCACTTGGACTGAAGAGGCGGAGGCTGCAGTGAGCCGAGATTTCACCACTGTACCCCACCCTGGGTGACAGAATGACACTCAGTCTCAAAAAAAAAAAAAAAGTATCCATTCCTAGCTATAAAACTTTATTTTATAGAATAACTTTATGATCAGGAAGGTCAAACATTTATTAGTACTTTATAAAATTGGGTCACTTTATGTCCAAACACAGCATTCTATAAGCAGATAGAAAGACAGATGACAGACAGGTTGATGGATGACACGATATCTTCTGTTTGTATAGTAATTTTTACTGGAGTAAACCTATAAGTCTCTATAGACCCTAAGAATTTCCATCTACTAGATTGTCAACTACATAAGTAAAAGAAGTAAGCCTTATTATGAAGGTGCTCAACAAATGTGTGTTGATTAAAAGAATAAAATCCATAACAAGGGATAAATTTCATTTGACTTCTAAATGACTTCTAGAGAACTGTGCCTGAGTCAGGAAAGGGAAGTTGCCATATGACAATTCCTCACCCGTGTACGGTAGATAGGAAAATTTTTTCCTTTACCCTCAGGTTCTGTGAATTAGGTCTGTTAATAAAACTGACAAAAGACAGATTAACAGGAAAAAGGCATACAAATTTCATTGGTGTTTTAAATTTTTATGGGTACGGGGGCTACACAGAAAAGAAATATACCATTTTAACAAAGGGCAATAAATTGTGGGGAAGGAATTAAACAAAGGAAAAAGAGTGTGGGCTTGTAGGGACAAGTAAACTGTGGGAAGGTATATATATGGGAAAACTAATAGAAGATTAGAATTTTTTAATAATATTTCTTTATGCAGACTCATCTCAGAACCTACTTTCTTGTCTCTGCTGATGAGGGTTGTTCTCCTCCTGATACAGGAAAGAGGAGGAGGAAACCTTCACAAAGGGAAATTTATGCCTGGTTTTTAGGCAAGTGGGAAGGGGTGAGCAGCTCTTCCTGTGTTTCCTTTTCATCTATTCCCTTTTATATCAAAGTGACATTTTGTAGATGGCATATTCATTCTGATTCCCTTCACTAGTAACTCCTGCATCTCTGCATGAGGTGAAAAAAATACCTCTACTGGATGGTTCTCTTCTGGTATGTTCCTGTGTGTCATGCTTTCTAAGACCTGGAACTTCCCCCTCCCCCAGCTAAAGAGGTTTGAGAACCCTTATTGCAACTATCAAGAGTGTTATCTTTCCCATTCCACTCCTGTTCCATATAACATGAAGTCACTGAGGCAAAAGAGGGAAAGTCTGTCAGGTTGGTAGATTACACGTTAGATCACAAAACCAGGACTCCAAGATCAAAGTATAATGGGTAACTGAATTTGCCATGCGATTAAAAGGAAACAAGTCTTGTATTAATATTTTTCTTTTATACCTTCATCTGTCTCTGATTCTATATTTTTCTACCATTAGGAGAAATAGCAGGGGGTAGGGGAGAGGAAAGAAAAAGGCAGCTTAGAAAAAATAAATCCAGCCCCTTTCACTGAGTGTGGGCAGGAGGTTAATTTTATACTCCAGCTAAAGGAAGATGAGGAATGTCCTGGTAGGCAGGAGAGTGGGTGGGTGGCAGATGTCTTACTCTGCCTTTTAGAAACACATGTTTGAAAGTAGAGTCCTGAATATGCTACCCCCTTGAGATGCAAAAGCAGCCAAGAGGCCTGCAAGGAGTGAACACAGACAAAAAAAGAACTAGGCCAAACAGCAATTAGAGAAGAAATTAACTGAGAAAATGCCAGAGGACTTTCTCTTCTCTTTTCCCTGTTCCCAGGATACAAATTTAAAACTAAATGTGAAGGAAACAAAATTATTCTATTATTGGATTTGCTGATCTCTTACTGCTTTTAAGACTCTGTGGTCAATGTAGCCCTACTACCTGCCTCAAATAATAATCATTTAGATTGACGTGACCAGGGGTTGCCAGAAATTTGAACTTTCAGACTCAATGCTACAGACTTCCAAGTTAACTATGTCCTTGGATTTCCTTTTTAGCACACCCATTTTTCAAGACCCTCACAGTACAACACCTTTGCTTCATAAATCTTAAATCTCCATTTTGATGGAGATAGTGCACAGATGGTCTCACTGGTCATGGCTAAAAAAATAACTCTGGAATTCTGGGATGATCATTCACTATTCTCGGTCCTAGAAAATGCTACTGGAGACAGGAACAGAAATTCAAATATGAAAATGTAAATTAATCCTTATGCCATTCATTTGAGGTCAGTAATTAGATTTCCCTACTTTCCAGTGAAGATATTGGGCATTCAAAAAAGAGGCTGTGGGTATTCTACTGATTTTGCACAACTGTAAAAGCTAGAAGCCTGCAGGACAAATGCATTAGTTAATTTTCCACTATCACACACTAAACAACTTTTTTTGGACTCTAGACATCAATTTGTTCCAATACTGAAGGCCCCAGTAGTAAAAAGATATAAAAATATTCAAAGTAAACTAATGCCTCCTGAAGCTCTTGGATCAGAATACTAATGCCTCTATCTGAAGAGACCGTAAGTCTGTTATCTTTCCATTAGAAACCTTTCACATAAATCCATTTGGACAATAAATACCTGTGGCTCACAGAACAGTAGTAGGTAATACCCACTTATTTTTCTATGTAATGTCCTTCTTTCTCAGCATGTCTTGTGCAAATTCATCAGCAACACTGTTTTCGTGCTTTAAATCATAAGGAATTCAAAAAAAGCTACTACCGTGTCTTTTTTCCTAACTTTGGGGTGTAACTAGGATACTATCATGCATGCTCAGGTGCTTGGTAAAATTTGTTAATAATAGATATTAGGCCGGGCACGGTGGCTCACGCCTGTAATCCCAGCACTTTGGGAGGCTGAGGTGGGTGGATGACGAGGTCAGGAGATTGAGACCATCCTGGCTAACATGGTGAAACCCTGTCCCTACTAAAAATACAAAAAAATAGCTGGGCATGGTGGCATGTGCCTGTAGTTCCAGCCACTCAGGAGGCTGAGGCAGGAGAATGGCTTGAACCTGGGAGGTGGAGATGGCAGTGAGCTGAGATTGTGCCACTGCACTCCAGCCTGGGTGACAGAGTGAGACTCTGTCTCAAAAAAATAAAAATAAAAATAAAAATAGATATTAGAATTTTCTTTTCTGCACACATACACGTGTACAAACTCACTGATATTCTAAAGAATTAATAAATCGTATGGTTCACTTGTGATTCACAATATTGATTCATATACTAATTCATCAAATATATATTAATTGGTTACTGTGTGCCAGGAACTGAGCACTGCATTCTGAAGTGGATATGTATGGTACTGCCTTATTCATACAAAGCTTCCCCTATAGGAAGAAGTAACACATACAAGCTTTTAATTAAACAAAGGAGCTAAAGTATTGCTTATTGCCTAGGCATGGGAATGAAGAAAGGGACTTCAGAGGAAGTGTTAGGGGCTTCAGAAAAGAAAGATCTACTTTAAATTTACCTCCCTCCTTTCAAGGCTTTCCCTTGAAAGGAACCTGAAATTTCTTCTCCCAATATCACACTGTGCAGAACAACATGAATTTGAGAAATCAACCACTAGAAAGACTGAAAGCACATAACCATGACATGATAAAGCTAGAAACATTCAGCAACAAGTTCAAACTAAAAACGCCCTGTATGCAGTAATCAGAGGACAGCATCATAGCAGGACCAAGACCCTCTGGGACATACAGACTGGAATATAGAAGAACAAGAGATAAACACAGCATATTGTTTAAGAATATAAAGGGAATAAAACTGTAGAGCAATTCTTCTAAGGTTGGAATCTTAGCTCAACCACCTACTGCTCTGTGACCTTGGGCAAGTCATCTAACTTCTCTGCGCCTCTGTTTCCTCATTTATAAAACTGGGATAACAATGCCCACCACTTTGGACCATTGTAAAGACTCAATGTCTTAATATATATAAAGAGCTTAAAATCATGCCTAATGATGTGCTAATTAGATGAAGTGTTCACTTGCCACCCAGTCAACTCTTATAAAAGGTTATTACTATAGGGCCAGGTGCAGTGGCTCATGCCTGTAATTCCAGCACTTTGGGAGGCTGAGGCAGGCGGATCACCTGAGGTTGGGAGTTCAAGACCAGCCTAACCAACATGGAGAAACACTATCTCTACTAACAATACAAAATTAGCCGAGCATGGTGGTGCATGCCTGTAATCCCAGCTACTTGGGAGGTTGAGGCAGGAGAATTGCTTGAAATCAGGAGGCAGAGGTTGCAGTGAACTGAGATTGCACCATTGCATTCCAGCCCGGGAAACAAGAGCAAAACTGTGTCTCAAAAAAAAAAAAAAAAAAAGATTATTATTATAGATGCTCCTCGATTTATGATAGGGTTATACCCCAATAAACTCATCCTAAATCAAAAATATCGTAAGTTGAAAATTATACCTAACCTACCAAATATCATAACTTAACCTAGTCTACTTTAAAGGTGCTCAGAGCACTTACTTTAGCCTATCATTGGACAAAATCATCCAACAAAAATCCTGTTTTATAAGTATTGAATATCTTATCTAATTTCTTGAATACTGCACTGCAAGTGAGAAACAGAATAGGTGTATGGGTACTCAAATTATGGTTTCTATGGAAGGCGTATCATTTTCACAACATTGTGAAGTTAAAAAATTGTAAGTTGTCCCATTGTAATTCAGAGACAATCTGTAGTTTTTTACTGAGGAAAATGCAGATTACCGTCAGAAATAATAGTTAAGTTTATCTTCATTTGTTTGAAGTATATTTTATAATCAATACATAATATATAGCTTTCTCTGAAGAATACAGGCAACGATAATACCTGTGTCATAGATGCAAGAACAGCATTATTTTGTTCATTCGACATAGTCAAAAAGCATTTTCAGCTTCCTAAAATTCTAAGGAAAAAAACAATCTTGATATTATAAATAGATATCAATATTATGAATAGATAAAAAGTAAAGGTTCTGGGTGCCCAGAATAGAAAACCTCGGTGAGCATACAGTGGTCTATCTTTTTGAGGATTATTCTCCGTATTGATAGAAGACCAGTAACTCACTCTGAGCAACGGACAGGACACGTGAGCCATGGTCTCTAAAAGTGTCAAAGATGGAGTTTTAGTGAGTCACTAGTGTGTGCATTACTGTGCATTTCCTCACCCAGATTTATTCAGCACTTACAGACAACACTCTTACTAAGTACTAAACAAGTTCCATTTTCATTTTTTGTCCTCAGGCAGCTTAAAACTCAGCAGAGGGATGATGCCTAGTATAATATGAACCTAACAAACATGTGTCACTGAATAGTTCCAGAATAATACAAAGCAATATACAGACTAGAGTGTGGAAAGAGATCAGCATGTGTCAAAATAATCTGAAAAGGCTTTGTGGATAAAGAAGATAAATGGGAATGGATTCTTGAAGGACAGGAATGCCTAGAACAGCTGAGAAGAGGGGTAGGTCATGCTGAATGGATCACCATGGAAGCCCAAAGGCCAAAGACTAGAAGGCGGCACATAGTAATCAATGTCAGAGGTCAGTTTAGTTACAATGTAGAGGAGCCTCTGTGGGTCTAAAATATATTACACAACTACCATGTGCAAACAGTAGGTCAGGTGCCAGAGATGGGAGGCTGGAGGAAAGAGTACGATGATCTCATGGAGCTTTTGATATGGTGGAAGACATAAAACGGGCAAGAATAATGACAACAGGATGACATAGAGTGAGTTAAGTTACATAAGTGAAATTCCATTTCCCAAGCATATAAAATAAAAGCTCCATGGCGGCAAGAACCAAATCTGTTGTGCTTATTGTTTTGGCTTATTGTATTGAACAGCAGATGCTCGATAAATATTTGTTTAATGAATGAACCCCAAAGCACTATAAAAGATGCTAAATGCATGGGGCGGGACAGGTCAGTAGAGTGGAGGGGAAGACTGAGACCCAAGAAATGCTTCCTGAATGAGCTGACATCTTCATTGAGTCAGAGACCACGAGCAGAAGCTCAATAACAGAGAGGACATGGAAGGTGCCACGGGAAAGGTCTCATGGTGAGGGAGCAAAAGAAGGGAGGAGAAACACAGGGTTAGGGAGAAGAATCGTGAGCAGTTCAACTCAGTAGGCACCAACCTAGAAAGTAGAAAGCTTTTTGAGTCTTCACCCTATTGCAAACTAATCATTAAGAAATTATATCAAAGAGCTACCTGTACTTGTATGTTTATCACAACACTCTTCACGATATCAAAGATATGTCATCAGTTTAAGTGTCCATCAACAGAGGACTGGATTTTATAAAATGTTGCTTTGGTGTTCATTCATTAAACAAATATTTATTGAACATCTACTCTGCCAAAACAATAAGCACAACAGATTTGGTTCTTGCCCTCACACACCACGGAATACTACTCAGTGATAAAAAAAGAATAAAATCCTACCTTTTGCAGCAACATGGATGGAACTGGAGGCCATTATCTTAATTGAAACAATTAAAAAACAAAGTCAAATACTGCATGTTCTCACTTATAAGTGGGAGCTAAACAATGTGTACACACGGACATAGAGTATAGAATAACAGATATTAAGATTTGGAAGGGTGAAAGGGTGGGAGAGGGGTCAGAGATGAGAAAATACTTAATGGGTACAATGAACATTATTCTAGGATGGTTATAGTAAAAGTGCAGATTTCAACACTACACAATAAATCCATGTAACAAAACTGCATTTGTATTTTCTATATTATACAAATAAAAAGAAATATGAGGGTTTAAATCACTGATTCCTGAGCCCCACCTCTGCTGGGGAGGTGCAGATTAGGGTCAAGAATTTGAATATCTAATCACTCCCAGGTGCTGCTGATGCTGCCTGGTTTTTAAATAGCACTTACCTAAAGAATACAAACTTAAAGACCAAAGAGTTTGAGTCAAGTAATGTCTATACTGGAAATTAATTAAAGCAGGGAAAAAATTTACTAAAAAATAAGGAATTATTTTTCAGCCTCCCAATCAGCATCATCACCTTTAAAGCAATTTTGAAATAACCCCTCATTTAACTCCTTTCCTCAAGTCTGTCTTAAAAATACTCTTTAAAAGTCTTAAAAATATGATAACTAGCAGACTGGAGCCCCCAAACCCCACTGGTCAAAAAGACATGGAAAAACCATTAGCCTGAAATCTTCCAGGGATAGGCATAGGGTAAGGGTGACAGAAGTATGAATAGAATATATATTTTTTTAACTCCAGTTCAGCCAGTTCATTTAAAAATATTAATTTCAAATTGGTGACAAAATGTGTTGCTGCTGCAGCTAGAAAATTCTGCAACAGACCAAAAGGGAGGCGGTGGTAGGATGGGAGGTTTTGGAGAATACTGGAAAAGAGATATAAAAATGAGATGACTTTTTAGGAACAAATTTGGAAACTTTCAGACAGAAGAGTATTATTTCCTGGTAGAATAATGCTTGATTTCCATACCTTCAGAAGTTCTCCTGTTACTGGTTTTGGACTGTAATTATAGCAGAAGACTCCAGAAGCAAAGAATAGGAGGAAATATTTGGAACTAGATTTTCTACAAATCTCTATCACTCGATGAGGGTAGAGGATGAATAATAAATGCACTAAAGTAATTTTTTCCTTGCTATGTCAGTACCCACATGAGATCCACAAGTCAGCTCACCCAAAACATCTACTGTTTTAATAAAATATGTTGTTCATTGGGATATGCGGGGACACAATTGTCTGCCAGGCAGATTTTTAGGCACTTTAAATTTTACTTTAGTCTCACAATTTCTCCTAGAAATACAGTAATATTCTCTCCATTTTATACTTGTAGAAACAGGCTTAGAAAATTTGAATGAATTGAAGGAAAAAAGGTAATGCATGTCAGTAGAAGGACTGAAACCTAGTTTCAACTGTGGACTCTCTGGGCTATTCTCCCATAGGCCACTTCCTTTTTGAAGTTGCTAAAAATTTTATAATCAGAACCTCTGAGTTTAGCTGCAGCTCTCTTAAAAAACAGCTAGCCATTTGTCCTTGGACAAATTAATTAACCCCCTGAATGCTATATGCCTTATAAATAAAGTTAAATTACATCAATTCAATAAGAATTTTAGTACATATTTTGTAGAGTTAGTGATAAGCATTTACTAGATTGTACATCTACAAAATACTGATGTTTTCTCCTTCCTTGCTAAGTGAGTTTAGCCAACTTCCTCCACTTCTGTGCCACCATGAAAACTTGAGTTTTTATACAAATTAGACAAGCTATTACAGGGAGAACACGTAAAACCATATGGCATTAAAAATTGTCGCACCAAAATGCTCACTCTTAGCTCTGAGGATAATGGCAATGATGATGGTGGTGGTGGTGATGGGAGTCGCTGTGCTAAGTGGTATTAATTAATATCTGCTCCAATACCTCTGGATATCCCTGTGAAGATGAGATCCATGCTTGTGAAAGCACAAACTGTAGAACACCAAATGGATATTAGTTTCAGTCTTCCCTCAAGGTGAAGCTCACATGCAACTGAGATTCTGTTAGGGAAGGAGTAATCCTCACAGGACAGGCCATCAGAGTCACTGTGTTAGGCAATAAAGTGTGGGTATGGGCAACAAACTGGATTTTCTCTATGAGGTGAAAGATCTACAGACCCAAGGGCAATTAACTGATGCTCCACGTCAGAATTTGCGAAATTAGAAAAGGGGGTAAGGAAACTGAAACCTTCATTAAAACAACAGGGAATTTCTGAGATTTGGAGATGTCTAATGAAACTCATTTATTTAACAAATATTTACTAAACCATACCCAGTTATTTTGCTAGGCTTTTTTAAAGAATGACAAGGAATGAATTAGTTAATTACACTTGGGTAATTACTTTTTTTTTAGTTTTTAAAAATTAGATCTACATCTTATATCACAATAAAACAAATGCTATGGAGGTTAAAGAATTAAACATAAAGATCAAATGCATAAAGTAATTACAAGAAAATGTAAGTGAATTTTCTTCTGATCTCCAGTTGCAGATTCTTTTGGGCATAGAGACAATGTAATATGGTATATGAGTTACGTTGCAATTAAACAAAATCTCAACAACATTAAAAAACCAATAAATCCCACATACAAATAAAACATCTGCATGTTGGAAATGCAGGGAATCATTTACAATAATATTTTTAAATTGTCAATGCCTTTGAGGACTCGGGGGGAAAGTGTGGGAAGGGGGTGAGGAGTAAAAGGCTACAAATTGAGGTCAGTGTATACTGCTCAGGTAATGGGTGCACCAAAATCTCACAAATCACCACTGAAGAACTTACTCAGGTAACCAAATACTACCTGTTCCCCAAAAACCTATAGAAATAAAAAATTTAAGAAAAAATTGTCAATGCCTAAAAAGGTTTTCACAATACATTAAGCAAATACAAGCAAATTATAAAATTATAATCATCATAATGGCCACCAGTTCAATTTTCAGTTTTAAACTTTTATATATTTTTCCAAATTTTCTAAAGTAACTTTTGATCACTCATAAATAAATACTACAGATGTATTAATCACTTTTTTAAACACAAAAAGAATTGAAAGCTGTGCATTTCTCAAACATGAATGAGCACCACCTATAGTTTGCTGATGGGTTCCTCCCGAAGAGTTTCTGATGCAACAGGTTCCCAGGTGATGTTGATGTTCCCATACTGGAGGGACTACACTTTAGACTACTGGGTTATAGATAGGATCATAGACTTCTGGGCCAGATTATCAAGTTTAAAGCTCACCTTCAACACTTGTTTTTAGTGGGTAAATTAATTAACCTCTGAGCTTTAGTTTCTTCATTTGTCAAGTAAAAATTAAAATGGCACATAATAGTACCAACCCCTTAAGACTGTTCCATAATTTAAATAAATTAACATTTACAGGGAACTCAGAAGCACACTTATGACATAGTAAATGTTAAATGTATTATTTTAGTGAGAATGAAAATCTAGCATTGTTCATATTTCACTAAAAATGTCAAGTAACAGGTTTAAAGATTTCTACCACATTTTGAAACTTATTCATAGTTTTTATTTTGTTAACTCCTTTTCAATTCCTTTGTAGTTGCTTGCCACAAAGTCTTTCAGAATCTTGAAAAGAATTATGTGTTTACTGAATGACTAGGAGTGGACAGAGTGGAGGGAGAGGCCAGTTAAATACTGAACCCTGAACCCAGGAGGTACTGGGGGCTGGCATGAGAGACAGGGAGGCAGGAAGTTGGGGGCTACACTCTGATACCAACAGAATAATGGATAAGGTCTGATGTACACATCACTTGGTCAAGAAAGATTGTCTACATTTAAATAATAAAAATATGACTCTAGGAGGGAAACATCATGATCCACAGCTAGGGTGATGCTATAGTTTATCATCTAAACTGAGACACTTTGAAAGTAAACAGAAGAAGGTGTTTTGTTAACAATTACAATTGGTCAAAATGCAAAAATGATACTATCTGTGGCTTCCACCTTTTAAAATATCAAAATTACTAACTAAAATTTGTTATTCTCCTTTATTGACAAGGATAATTCCTATGAGGTTTGTATTACTATGGAATCTTGGAATTCTAATAGTTTTCAGAGGAAGCATAAGTGTAGTTGAAATAATAGAAACCTAGGAGTCAAAGAGTCTTCAATTCAGGGTGGACAGTGGACCAGGCCAGAAATTTCCATCCTGGGTCCACATAGTCTCTCATTTCTGTTGCCATTGATCTTCCTAAGGCTAGGATTAATGAAGGCATGAGTGTTTTCTCTTCTAATTTGATTTCAGAAGATGAATGAATTTGGGAAGAGAGAGAGAGAGAAAGTGTGTGTTTCTATATGCATGGTATATGCCATCATGCATATGCATGCACACTTACACACACACACATACTCATTCTATGTGTTACTTGAAAGGGAAAAAGAAAATTAATCAGGCCCTTCCATAAAGGCTGAAAAAAGAAAGAAAAGAAGTCTGCAATAGGCTGATTACTTTCCAGGAGATAAACATTCTCTAAATGTTTAGAGTAATCTCAGATTGAACGTGCTTACTAACTGAAATTAGCCAAGTCCTCCCAAAGAGCTTATCACTCGGTTCAGTAAGAAGAGCTAGCAGAATGTTTAAAGAGTATGAAACCAAGTACTGTAACACATCCACACTTCAGTGGGGCAGAATAGAGAATGGGAAATTTGATGTTTCTTTCAGTAATGACTGCCAATTCAGTCACCTTCTGTATGGAGGACGAACATTCAGAGATGGGTGAAAAAAAGGTTCCCCCAAATACTTTTAACATTAGATAAGAAAGACTACCAAATCAAATTCTTGTGTTATAATCTGTCAAATAATTTATGTTTTCAACAAAAGTATGTGTTTAAAGAATGAGTGAGAAAAAACACTTACAATAAATATCATAAATTTCTATATTAAAAGCAGTGAAGAAAGTGACCCTTTCTTATATCTTTTAAGAGGATTTACAAATAGCATACAATTTCTGATTCTGTTCTCATTAAAAAAGATGATCAGCTAATATATATAACCTTTTGATACACTTCCATGGAGAACTGTATATGCAAATATAATTCTATATTATATCCTAAGTATTTACTTTATGACAATGATCAGACCTCAATAAAATGAGTTGGGAAAGATCATTTACAAAATAGTCTTGTACATTTAACCATAATAATAAAAAATATTCTTTCCAGTGTGAAGCTATTACCATTGGCAGGCAACGATCTGAAATAGAAATGATGCAGTGCCCTCTTTCTGAAATAGAACTAAATATTCCGCAGATTCCCATTGAGATCTGTCAGCTTTCTTTTGCAGATCACCAAAGAACTAAACCCACCATCACTTAGACCAAGCAGCAGAAGATGATGCCATAACATGCCTCTTCTTTTCAAGGTCCAGCTCTGTGCTTTAGATTCCCATCTCCTCTCACTGTTTCACAACTTTTTCCAGCCTAAGAATGCTGGCTGCCCCCTGATTCAGCATTCTGTGGGAGTCTGTGACTCCCACAGAATGATCTCCATGCCCTTCCCCTAGATCCTTCCTCATTTCCACAGAGAGCAAACTGACTCACTAGCAGAGAAGTCTCTGTATGCCCCAAGACAGCACACACAGTAGGTACACATTTTACAGAAGTTCTCAGAATATCCTTCTTGGTAAAGCACAGTACAGTGTTCTTAGTACATTAAATACGGTTACTTGGGTTTTAGCACCCTGAGATAGAATAAGCTTCGGATACCTGACATGGTATAAAGAAAATATGTGAATATGTCCAAAGCCATGAGGTCATTCCTCTCCTCTCTGAATTACTGGTTGTAAACCCAGAGGAAGCTACCTGATCCTAATGGTCCTCACCTATATTATGGTATTTTGATGTCTGTAATTTACTGTCAAATACTTAAGCACAGTGGTGTGTGTGTGTTGTGTGTGTGTGTGTGTGTGTGTGTGTGTGTGAGAGAGAGAGAGAGAGAGAAACAGAGAGAGAGAGAGAGAGAGAGAGATGGTGTAAGAAATAGAGTTTTAATTTACAACCAACCCAAGGTAATTACTTGTCTGAATTGGGTTTGCTCTCATATAATCTAAGCATTATAATAGCTACAACAAACACTTCAGCTGTCTTATCTCTGCTCGGGAAGAGAGCTTTTATTAATTAACATAAAACAGATTTTTCGTATGGATTTTCATTGGTGAATTTTGTTGTGCTTGAATTCCTTGGATTGGCTGGAAATATTATTCAAACTACTAAACAAACTATTCTATCAACAAGTTATACAAAGACCGGACATTTGAGGTGGGACTTGAGCTTTGTTTTTTAAAGAATCTCTAATCCAACCACTATTTCGGAAGATTCTGGTTACCAATGCTGATTATAAATTACATTACTGTAATTCCTCCTAAGTAAGATCTAGTATAGACTCTTACCTCATGCCTCTAGAGTAACTCTTGTGTTTGTCACAATCAATCTTTCATACATGCTGGGAGCAGAACCCTTAAATAAGGGAATGCTGGATGTCACTGTTTACCTAGTGTGGTGTATAACTAATTTCATACTTTCCTTCCAATAAATATATTCATGTGTAGTAGGATTTGGTACAAAATATACTTGTGAATGGCAGCAAGGTTATGAAGGAAGACACATGTAACTCTCACCTACCTTCAATAACTGTAGGTCCCTGCTATTAAAAAACAACAAAAACCACCAATTAAAAAAATCTAATAACCTTGAATAGCCAAATGTGTTTATGTCAATTTATAATAAACAGGAAGAAAAATAAAATGAAAGTAATTTCACGTTTTGCAAGGAAACATCAGCTGTACAGGTTGTACAGGGTTTTCTGAGGACAACATGTGCTATGGTGCACTTGGAATATAGATAGTGCTAAAAAATTATTTTGTTATTCTACAAATCAAATAGGTCCTGGAATCAGAATTCTATTGGCACAAGACAGGGCGCTTCATCAAACCCCTTAAAGAATTTCTGCTTCTTGTTGGTTGTCCCGCTTCTTATTAGATGAATAATGGTCAGACGATGGATTCTATTGCATATGGCGCTGATTCTCCTTCGTTCCTCCCAAGTAAGATCTAGTATAGACTCTTCAGCCAGCATATTCTCATTAACCTACTCTATGATACATCATAGCCCAAATGGGCAACTTATTTTATACTTCAGTTTCATTATACCAAAATCAAAGAGATGTCAATTGTTAGGAATCACTTTGAAAGCCAGTGACCCACGTCTAACATACTCAGTTTCTTAACTAACATTTTGACCTACTTCTGTTCTAGGATATTAAAAAGTTCACAATTCAAGGCACCACCAGGAAAAGGAAGTGGAGGAGACTAAATTACAGTAGTCACCCTTATCTACAGGGGGTACATTCCAAGGCCCTCCGTGAATGCCTGAAACTGTGGATAATAGCAAACCATATCTATACTACATTTTTTCCTATACATACATACCTATAATGAAGTGTGATTTATAAATTAGACACAGTAAGAGATTAATAACTAATAAAATAGAATAATTGTAACAATACTGTAATAAAAGTTATTTCTCTCTCAAAATCTTACTGTGCTGTACTCACCTATTTTTGGACTGCAGTTGAATGCAGGTAATTGAAAGCTAGGAAAGAGAAACCATGGATAGGTGAGGAGTATGTTCTGAGTTTCTCTCCCTTCTGGCTACATTTGAAACGGCAGTAGTGAAGAGCAACTATAATCTCTGGATCCAGCCTTATGAAATGTTAGGTCAAGGTCTACTGGTATAAGAAAACCAAATGTTCATGGCCAAGAGGGGAGTCACACCAACAGAAGATTGCCTGCCCCAAAGACCTGCAATCTTCCAGTAGCCACAGTTTTAGAAAACATATAAAATGCAGACTCTTACTAAATCTCGCTCAAAAGAGTAGATACAGTCTGGTCCCTACCCTCCTCTCAGAACATGTATAGTCTTTCATGGAGATAAGATCACCATATATGAATCACTGATCGGTATGTATGAAAACACATGAATCACGAATATTAGGAAGACAAAAATAGCACTCATCAATCAATGAACATACACTGATTCACTTGTGACAAATGTTTTATGTGGCAGAGTTGTCTAGGGAAGATAAAAATTGGCAACAGCCACTCACATTTGCACAGCGCTTCCATATGTATTAATATTCATGTCTAAAATAAAGAGCAAGGGTAGCCCAGGAAGGCTTTGGGGAGGAGATGTGATGCAAAGGGTTTGCTTCTAAATTAGTTACTTAATTTAGCATGCTAGTTAGGTACTTAACTTGCTAAATGGTGCTAGTTTAACAAATGGACCAAATATATTCATCAGGAAGATGCCAACAGAAGCAGACACTGGACTATCTGTCTGACTGAATATAAGCTCAAAGTTTCAAAGAAATCACAACAGAGAACAAAAAAGCTTAAAATTCATGTTTTAATAATTTTTCTCATAAAACAGCCTTCATGAGAAGCAGCTAAAAGTGGCTAAATTTTCCGAGACACCCGGGCTGAGTTTGGAAGAATGCACTCGCTAACAGTGATTTGTGTTCCTGTGATGTGTCCCCATGATACAACGGGGACTTTAAAATGAGACCATCAACATGCACTCAGAGAGCTTTCAGGATCTCAGTTAAGCCCAGATGGACATGCTTAGTTTCTTACATATGAAGAAACATTTCTCCACAACAAAGAATGGAGTTAGGTAGAGCCCCCAGAGGCCTATTGCTACTGCCTGGCAATACAGGTCACCAGCGTGATAGAGTTGAACTTGAGGACAGTATGGTAAACAAAACATTGAGGATTAGAAGGTGGGTTATGGGGGGAAAAGCACTGATTCTGAAAATACTTGTTTTGTGACCTTTACATCTCTATATAGTGCTATTGGATGTACTTTCTTACAACTGAAAATAATTTCACTACCTCCTTCAGTTTACCTTTAAAAGTGAAATACGCCATCCTGAGAGATTTTTGACTAACAGTGGAGTCAGGAATTCAGTAAAGGTATAGACACATAGCACAGGAACTGTGCTTTTCATATTTAGAAGGAAAACGACTTTCCATATTTAGAAGATGACTTTCCATATTTAGGAAAACGACTTTCCATATTTAGAAGATGGAAAAACGACTTTCCATATTTAGAAGATGGAAAAAGGACTTTCCATATTTAGAAGATGACACCCTTCTTGGGAATGACAAAGAACTCAGATATACCTTAGTCTATCCCATGGCTTTGGCAGGTGGAGAAAATGAAGCCTGAAGAATTAGGGTGTTGCTTTTCCATAGCTTCAAGAGACTTCTGCTAAAACAAGAATTCACGATGTCACAAACACGGTGTTCTTAATCAGACACTGGTTTTTAAACTTGCCCAAGTAGTTACCACTTAGAATGGGTTGATTTGGGAAGAATGGCACGAAATGTTTATGCAGCTTGTTCATTTGTTTTGTTATCTGTTGCCCCCAACTGGCCAACAAGGAGCAGCAAACACCAAAGGGGAAAACATGGATCTCAGAGAAACTGTCAACGGAGAACATCCCAAATTTAGGTTTCCTGAAAATTAAGAAGAAGTTACTCTCATGTTATTTTTCCTAACAGTGGCACACACTGAATCAGCTTGCAGAATGCAGGCATCATACACAGACATGATGATGAGAATGACGATGATTTATGGACAGCCTACCGGGAACCAGGCACTATTTTAAGTACTTTTCAGTCTGTAAGGCAATCTGTGGCATAGGCATTATTATCCGCATTTCAAGATCTAGAACTAGGGGCTGAGATAATTTAAATAATTTGCCCAAGGTCACACTCAGCTTAGAAAAAAAAAAATCAATGTATGAACCAGAGCTGTCTAATTCATCAGGCCAGATTTCTGGCCCCCTGCGTCCATCTCTCCCAGAACAGGGGTCCTTTTATCTCCACTTATATGCTTAGCCTTGCAGTCCCTTAAGCCAGACCTGACCTCAGAATTATCTGACATTGGACTACAACCTCAGGTCCTAATTTTGCTAAATGGGCCTCTGATAAATGTTCCCTGTTCTTGGATAAGTTGATATCCTAAATTCTTTAGCTCTCGGTCTCTGCTTTACACGTTCTTGATCATTCACTAGAGTTTTCACCTAACTCCAACCTTATACTTGGAGCCTTGCTTCCTGCTGCAAACTTTATCAAAGCAAATTTATGCGAAGGCCAGAATCAATGTAAATCTCCCACTAAAGATAGTTTGGCTTATGTTATTCTCTGCAGGAAAAAAAAAAATGTGTACACACACACAAATAAGGTGATCCTTGATAGTGAATGTGAGCATAAAGACATTTATAGTTTTCTATATACAAGATGCCCACATATCTTTGCTTAGAACAGACCTGATTTTAAGCTGGTTGTCCCAGCATGATTACTAATAGTGCCCCATTAAACTCTCCAAACCATCTGAGTTGGAATGATACATCTTAAAGTTATCCTAATCCTGTGCACCACTGAGGCACCATGAAGACACTCTACAAACGTCACTTAATCTTTTTTAAAATTTTCACATTCATTTAAAAATGTAGCTAACCTTATTCGCATTATACAAATGAGTTAGGTGAAAATCAGAAAGGTCAAAATATATAATTCAAAATCCCATTATTACTAAATGGAGACAAAATTCAAAGCCACGTCTGTCTGGAGTCGGTCTCCTTACTGTATCATATTGCCTTCTGTGAGGCTTTCTCAACTAATCTGTGTGGGTTTTTTTTGTTTTTTGTTTGTTTGTTTGTTTGTTTTGCCTTTTCCAAAATGGACAAAGGGTGGCTTCCAAATAGATTTAAAACATACTAATATAACATAAATTTGGAAAACATGGAAATAAGAATACTGAAAAACAAAGTACAGAGTTAAAACTGAGCCAGATATAACAGTAATACCAGATTATTTACCATAAGATTCAATATTCTGACTTCTCATGAGAGAAATCCAATCAGTTTACAAGCCAAATATCAGTAAGACAAAAAAAAAAAATCAACCGCTCAGAAGAAATCCAATTGCTCCTGTTACTAAATTCACAAAGCAGCAAACCATTTCTCGCAGAAAAGGTACTCACAAAAGGGACACTGTAATCCAATGACAAAGATCATAACAACATCTTTACAGAAGGCCCCACAAGGTTTTATAGATCTCTTTTCTATAGCCTTCTTAGATATCGGCTAATAGCACCACTCCAAACCATAATTCAGAAGACTCCGTGGGTGGGTGTTGGAGGATGGAGGAGAAAGAACGATTTTATAGGAAGCCAATAAAATATCATTCATGTATATAAATGTTGGTTGGCCTTGATCCTGGGACGGATATTAGCATATTTAATGGTTTAGAATATTTAATAGGTATTCATCAGATACCCATCCATAGATATTTCCTTCAGCTGAACAATTATATGGGGAAGACCTGTTTATCTGCTGTCAGAAAAGAACTTTGCTGACCATTCTACATGGATCAAAAGGATTACTTTTTTTTTTCATTGCAGTTTTATCTTAGAGATGTACCATCTACTCATTCCATGCTGGAGAGGAAATGTAACACATTGAAAAATCAAGAAGTCAATAATATAAACATAATATGATGGTTTTCAGGAAAACACCTATAGATAATGGCACATGTTTAAATTTTTATAATGAGCATGATAAATGCAATATCCATTCTAAAGAACATGAGAGCATACTTTGTCCCTTAGAATAACGAAGTATGAGCCAGGCACAGTGGCACAAACTTGTAATCCCAGGTGCTCATGAAGCTGAGGCAGGAAATTTCTTATGCCCAGTGGTTCGAGACTAGCCGGGGCAACAAACATGGTGAGACACTGTCTCAATGAAAAAAAAAATGACTAAAAATGAAGTTCCTGTGTAGTAAATGACAGTAATAAATTGAATAAGATTCAAGTATTGCTATTAAACATATTTAAAAGTTTCTAGGTACTTCCCCCACCAAATATAGAATCATATAGCAATTGGTACTAAATATTTCATGAGAAAAAGTCTCTAGGCTTTTTATATGTGTGTATGTATGTCTGTCATTTGTTTTGTTTCTTAACTGAAACACAGTAGGAGTTATGAATCTCAGTAGTCATCATTTTAGGGTATATAGTCCCTTAAGCATTTGTGGGTTATAAAAAATTTTTGTCTTCCAGTCTCCACATTCCCAATCTCTCCTATTGTGACAGAATACAGTTTTTGATTAGTATTTATATGGAGATACAATCTAATACTAAAAATTTCTGTATGACACCATCAACTGACCCAACTGAATGCCAACTCTTGAAAATACTAGAAAGTTTCTCAGCTAAATACACAGTTTTTGGTATACTCAAGAGCAGTTTTTGAGTGCAGAAAAGGACTCAGTTCAGGGCTTTTGTTTAGCTTCTATAATACTAATTTTAAAGGAATTATAAGCCCCAAAATATAGCTTTCTTAAATTAAGTAGATAAATGAATCCTATCCGAAGTGTAATAAACATTATTTTAAGGGTGCTGTGATTAATGCTTGTTTTGTTATAAATTTAAACATCTTCAAACATTTAAAACAGCTTTCATATATTTAATATTTCTGAAGACTTCAACAGTCTCACTTATAGACCCCAGTGTATAATCAAAATATTGTTAGAATCAAACACATTAAAACTATAATGTGAAGAAATGCAAAATTTACAAATTATGTGCTCTAATGTTTACAAGCTTACTAAGGTCCCACTTACAATCAGTTATAACTTAATTATTGAAATTACAAATTTGAAATTGAAGTCACAGAATAATCTATTTTTCTGATACTCCAAATATTCATAAATATTGCCAAGTATAAATATTTAAGAATCACTTTTAATATAAATATTAATAAAATCCATATCTTCTATACTTCATGGCTAAAACTTTCTAAGAGTTTGATAAATGCTTATTTCCAAGAAAATAATCATTTCAAGTCCATAATGTAACCCTGCAACATAATTTTGGTGTGATTTCTCAGTATTCTGCAGCTCAGAAAATGACCAGAATTCAAAGAGGTTGACTGCCTTTGACAGCTACCTTTAGAGGAAACTTTGAACACTATTTATAGCTTCCATGTCAATGATTCCATAAACCAGAGGAGACAGTGTCCAACACTTGAAATTCAAGTTTTACAGTTCATCTCCCCACCTACAACTAATTTAGATATATCAGTTGATTACATTTGTTTACTTCTTTGGCCCTTATGAGTTATTTTCATTTTATCTCCAAAAAAGCTTTACATTTTTTTGAATGAATTCTTACATTGTTTCATATGCTTAGAAATATTATAATGATGTAGTCAATTGGATTATTGTTATCACACATGGCTCTACTGTACTATTTGAATACAACTTCCAATGTCATTCTACCTGTAATTACTAGTTCTTAGAAACTGTAGCACTTCTGTATTACTAAGTTAGTACATTTTAGCCAGCATAATTCTTTTGCCAGCTTTCTCCAGAAATGCATTGAAGAAATGTAGGAGTGAAGACAGAGAATGTTTTGCTACTGTTGGAAAGTTATAACCTATCCTCTGTTACTACAAAAGTGAAATGCAATCTTTAATGTCTACATTAGGATGTGAATCATATTTAATCTTTCAAGTGTTCTTGGATTAATCTGTTTATAGTGTTTAAGATACTTCAAAACAAAATTAAGAATTTACCATATTGGTAATTATATATAAAATAGATACAGTAATTTTGATAAACCCCACATAAAAAACAAAAAAGATTAAAAACTCCAAATTATCAGTGAACCCTCTTCAGAAAAAACCATACTCCACAGTCTTTCCAAGTTTAAGATCTTTAACTTTTTTTTAGGTTCAGCACCAGTTAATGTAGAAGGATTCACTAAGTGCACAGATGAAGATATGGCCAGAATAAAACTCACACAGATACACACACACGACATACAATTTGAATAGCAGACCAAGAACTGGTTCATATCTTTTCACTAATAACTGACCACATCATTGCTTTAGGTCTAGCATTTACCAGAGAAAATATTTTATGCTTACTACATAAACTGTACACTTTTTGTTTGCTTTTAATGCAATTTGATCTAGGAAAGAACTATCATGTAAGTTTTCACGCTCCTAACTTGCTTTTAAATTTTGGTATATCATGAAAAATATATGCCTCCTAATGAATGGTATATGAAAACCACTTCTAATTAAATTGTGGAACTGTATTAATGTTACAAGTTTTGTATCTTGATTTATAATAAGAGAATGACAATTATTTATGAAAGAGGAGACAAAGTTAAAGTGGAAGAAGAAAAGATAACTTTAATTTATTCTGGGGAATAATTTCTTACCAAAAAAGCCAATAGTGTGTAAAAAGTCTGGAAGCAAATATTGTACATTTCCAGGTGAGAAGTTTAAAAACAGATTATTTCTGTTAACATAGTTATTACTTAAAATAAAAAAAAATTTAAAATTACTTACTTTAATTTCCAATACCCCCACCCAAAAAAAATTCTCACTTTGGAGGAACTCTAAGACAACAATTGATAGTTTTTAAATCTAAAATGGAATCATTGACTCTCATTAGTGGAACTTGCTACATTTTCATTAAAATGTTACCAAATTTATTTCCATATTTCAATTTTATACATGAGCTGATACGTAAAATCCACGTGAAATTGAGATTTAATTTACTGTCAATTTTGAGCCAAAACTTCATAAATTCACCAGGTTTTTCAATTAAGCTTAAAATTCATACTTTCCTAAATCAATAGATTTTAGTGCTTTATATCAAGGCTTATCATTATGTTACATATTCTGACTTTTTAATATCTAAAAAAAGCTAGCTTTAAAATAAATTATTGTATAAATAAGGTGAGAATCATAGAATACATTGCAAGCCTATGTCACAAAATAGAGTAGGAGTCAGGAAAGATAATTGATAAAGATCATAATTTAATTAAGAAAGTTCCACTGGTATAAATGAGAATATAGTATTTTCTTTTTTTTCTTTTTCTTTCTTTTTTTTTTTTTTGAGACAGGGTCTTGCTCTGCTGCCAGGCTGGAGTGCAATGGTGCAATCTCGGCTCACTGCAACCTCTGCCTCCCAGGTTCAAGCAATTCTCCTGCCTCAGCCTCCTAAGTAGCTGGGATTACAGGCATGTGCCACCATGCCTGGCCAATAGTATTTTCTTTATTCTTATGGCCTTTGAGTACTGATGGTTTATAAACCAATTAAAAAGATATAAGAATTAAATGTAAAGTTAGCATCATGAATATTCTATTCATTTATGTTCATATTCTAGTCTAATAAAATAAGCAACTATTTTTAAAAGGAGTCTTTTCATAACTGAATTGAGTAAATTTTTATTATTTTTTTTGAAGGGGGAGTTGATAGAAATTAATACATGTAAACTTGTGTAAGTTACCATTTCTTTCCTTAGTGAATCTGTTAGCTTTTCCTCTCATATGCTATCATAAAGCAAGAAGGAAATTTTAGAAAGTCAGAAAAAGAACATTTTAAATGATTTGAGACTCAATATTACATCCTTAACAAATGGACCAAATGGACCAAGGACATAAACATTTTGAGATGAAAGAAGAGATTCCAAGATATTTGTAAGTGCCAGGTAGATCTATCTCCTCTTGAGACCACACTATTTCATTAGGTCATCCAACTACAATTTGATTCTTGTTCTTTTTAGACAAATTTGGCATACTAATAGAAATTCATCACACAAGTCTTCATGCAAAGATAGTCAATGAAAATAAATGTGTTAGCTTTCACATCGAACATCAGAAATCAGTTAAGTATTCAATTCAAATTCATAAAAAGTTAAGTGCCAACACTTTTTTAGTTATTAAGGATATAATTATGTTTACGACATGGTCTCTCACCTCCCCAAATTTCACAGTTAATCAGTAAATATATTTTGTATTTGTTTGTACATTGCTATTTACCTGTGTAACAGAATGAAATGCTCCTTATAAGAATTTCAAGGAAATTAATTGTTCTTGGCACCAGACAAAGCTGCCTTGGCCTCGAAAGTGATAGCAGATCAAAGTACTCCGGCAGGACAGTCAACTATTTGGTGAATTGAGTTGGGAAACTGAAACCTTTATTCTCATGCAAAGATGAAAAATACACAAATATTATATCCGTGCAAGTAAGATAAGATGGTTTATTATTTAACTGATGAGGGACCCGTTTTTCCAGCTCATTCCACCCTGAAACACTTTCCTCTTGCTTTTCCACTAGCAAGCATAAAACATTAGTTGCATAGAATTATGAGCTAACCCCAAGTTGTTCTAACACAAGTGATTCTAGTTGGAGTTAAAATATTTACTATAAAGCTTATTGGTAAGAGTGAAGTGGATAAAGTTTATTGATAAGAGTGAAGTGGATGTGGGGCTTTTCAGCACCCTGGACAGCACCTCAAGCCAGCCTGGGAAGAGGTACTTTGTAAAACAAGAGAAAGAAAATTAAACATCTTCCAACTGAGTACTTCCCATAATTTTCTGATTTATAAAACTATGTCATAATAATGTTGTCTCATTAAAACTGTGAGAATTAAAAAACTATTTCAGGATGGGGTAATAATAACAACAATAATAGAGGTTTTTCTATGTGCCAAATGCTATTTTAAATATTTTCCCCAGCTAAAGTTGTTTGATCCTCACGATAATATTACGATGTAAGTGGCATTACTTTCCCTATTGTATAGATAAATAAACTGAGATTAAATAACTTACCTAAGGTCACACAGCTAGTATATTATAGATCCAGAATTCCAACTCAGGTATACTGACTCCAGAGGCCATACTCTTAACCATTCCTTTGTGACTTAATAAAGAAGTTTAAATTAAAATCAATATGCTTTTAAGGATTATGTCATAAAATTAATTTTAATACTGAATTTAAAGTTAACTGTAACTTATGAAGAAAATTGTTTAGTTTCTGTCATTTAACAAATGGCTCATTCTGCTTTATTTCAAGAATAATTTATTATTACTATTATTTGAGTTAAATCCGAATTCATAAATTACTTTTAAATATTACACTGTATTAGGTTTGGAAAGCAAACACACATTATCGAAATATAGACTGAAAACTATGTACTGTGATATCAAAAATAATACCAAACTAATTTCATTATCTGATGTTGAAAATTGTTGTACTTTGTCCATAAAATATATGTTGGTATATATAATATTTGTGTTTTAATTCTAAATAAAATAAGTGTTCAGGTGTTATTTTCAAGCTCTTCTCCATAAATAACCTATTGTAGTTGCAGAGTTTTTATACTTTCCTCAATGAAAAGCCAGATGGAATATAACCGCATTTTTCTTTCTAGCATTGGTTTTTTGAAGTCCTAGAAACATTCTTTTTTGTTTACTTAAGGAGCCTTGAAAATAATGGTAAAGATCATCTTGAAATAAATGTTTAAGTTATAATCTGTTATATTCCTAATTTCTTATTCTAGGCACATGATAAGCATAAATTAAATAATACAAGATTAAGCATAAATTCCATGTAAAATTATGCATTCTTCAAAATGACCAGTGCAGGTGGTGATGTTCAGATGAGTAATAAACTGAATGAATAACTGAGTCATGGACATCCTCAAATGAACTTCACTAACCATTATGATAACTACCCTTTTTACACTTATGGTCTTTTACAGGGAAATATTTAAACAAGTATTTACCCATTTTTGAAAATGGAAACTGAAGCAGATGTCAATAAAGATTCCTGGTTTATCTTATTAACAGTTTATAACAATTGGTTAACATATAATTATTTACCATCATTTAATATTCAAGTATACAGATAACTGAGGAAGTTAAATGACTGGCCCAAGATCACAGAGGTAATAACAATAATATACTTTCTCAAACTTTTTCATGCCATGTGTCCATCACAATGTTCAACATTCTACGACAGCACTTAAGTAGTGTGTTTGTGCATGCATGCATGTGTGTGTGATTTAGTATTTGTCACCAAGGTGCTTCTTCCATCATCTGTCACTCTGCACTCTTACTCTGGGCTTTGAGGTAGATCTTAAACCTCTGGGAAGAACAGAGCTGATAGGGGTTATCTGTTCTCAGTAGCAAAAATGTTTTTCCTCTGTTCTCATGCAACACAGAATAATTCTGTGACCATATATATGTGGAGGTTTTTCCCCCACCCACCAAGTGAGCAATCAGTTCTACAGAGGACACCAGCTGGGTGTCCTCTAATTCAATTCAATTCCAACACTATCTACCTGGAGATAGCATCAGATCTCCCAAGGTAATGACTCAGTCCCATAAGACTGCCCTCCACTTCCTATGCCAATTGCGATCCCCAGGTTGTTTCATTTGTGCTTCTGATCAACTTTAGAGTTTCTGGTGACCCCTTTCTTGGGTTTAATTGACATGCTAGAGCAGCTCACAGAACTCACAGAAACACTTATGTTTACCAGTTTATTATAAAGGATATTACAAAGGGTACAGATAAACAGATGCACAGGGCAACGCATGGGAAAAGGGTGTGGAGTTTCCATGCCCTCTCAGGGTGTGCCAGCCTCCAGAAACATCCAGATGTTCGGCTATCTGGAAGCTCTCTGAACCCAATAATTTTGGGTTTTATGGAAGCTTTAAGTAAATGTGATTGATTAAACCACTGGCCACTGGTGATCAACATAACCAAGGAGAAGCTCCTCTCTCCTCCTTGGAGGTTGAGCAGGCTGAAAGTCCCAATCCTCTAGTCAAGCCATGTTCTTTTTAGTGACCAGTCACCATCCTGGAGCTACTTAGGAGCTGCCAGCCCTCCAGCTCAACTTGTTAGCACACAAAAGACATCACCTTGGGGACTCCAGGGATATTAGCAGTTGTATTTCATAACAGTGGGACAAAGACCAAATATATATTTCACAATATCACATTAGTCAAAATCTATAGAACTACTAAGGATACAGAAAGAAATATAGTTGTTTGTCAAATGCAAAAACAGTCTTGAAATTCGAGAAAATGGTTTTGGGGCAAATGAAAACAAAATGCTAGGCTCTATAGTAACAAAAAAAAGATCATTGGTCGTCATGGGCTGGGGACTAGGGTAGGAAGAAATCACAAAGGATCCTAAGAAACTTTTAGAGGTGATGGACATGTTCTCTATCTTGAATGTGGCTGAATGAAACCTCAAAGAATACTCTTTAAATTGATGTAGTTTATCATGCACAAATTGCACTGTTATAAGATTGATAAAATGGAAAAAAAGTGTTATTTTATACCTTGTAGAGAAAGCTTAAATAACTCATTTCCTCTAGTAATATTTTTATCTTTAATGGCTAAATAATGAAATTAATGATGATATAATAAAATACAAAACAAGTTTGTATACTTATGCTCTGACATCAGTATCTAAAATCTTAAGAATGACACTGTAAGTAACCATTTGAGCTGAACAAACCCATATAAGTCACAAATATAGAGAAAACAGAGAGTTAGTGGTAGTCTGACTATTCACTGAAATGCCTATACAGGAAAAAGAAAAAAAAACAGGTTTCATGGAGAAAATCTAATTAATTAATTCATAATCTCATTTCATTGCTATCTCTATGAAAAACCTATAGCTCAGAATCTCTAGCACAACACTTCCTGACCTCTTAAAAAGACTAACCCACAGGATTCCTTAGTTCTTCATTATCAAAGAAGAAAGGGATAAAATGAAGATTATTGCAGCTTTTGAAAAATAGTCCATTTTCATGCTGACAATTAACCATGATGTGTTCTATACAATTTAAATGAAGCATAAAATAGCAAGCAGATCTCACTTTTATGGATGTAGCTACCATATTTTCCATTTAACCAGCAAACTGGGACAAAGTCTTTTAAGAGATGGATTTACTCCAGCTTAGTCACATCTCCCATTTTCTCAATGACGAATCAATTAACATATTAGATTTCTTTGTGAATTGTCTACTTATTTTTCAATGATTTTCTTCTGCTTGTTTAAAGTCAATAAAGCCTTTCACAAATAGTGAAAATGGTCAGGAAGGTAGTCACTCTCTCTTCAGTGAGGGATGGTTGGTTGGTGGTGTTTTCATATCTGAGCTGTCACTACCACAGACTTATTTTCTTTTGGTTTGGCTTCAGTTAAGTGATGTTAGAAAACCCTGTTGGATAAGTCCTTGCTGGTCAAGGGTTCAACACCAGCTTCACAATCTCAGGTACCCATTGTGAAACATGGATATCTAACAAAAGTTTATGGGGAAGTGAGAGTGTGCATGTGTATCATAGCCGCCAAACATCAGCATAGGGTTCTTATGCTGCACAGAAGAAAAGTGTGTCTTCAGTGGGGCAGAAGAGAGCCAAGGAGGAGCACAATCCATTTATTCTGCAAGAAAGTAGATTTGGCCGGGGGGCAGTGGCTCACACCTATAATCCCAGCACTTTGGGAGGCTGAAGCAGGAGGATCGCTTGAGCCCAGGAGTTTGAGACCCGCATGGGCAACATGGTGAAACCCTGTCTCAAAAAAAAAAAAAAAAAAAAAAATAGCCAGGCATGGTGGCATGTACCTGTAATCCCAGCTACTTAGAAAACTGAGGTGGGAGGATTGCTTAAGCCCTTGGAGGTGGAGGGCTCCTTGAGCTGAGATGGCGCCACTGTGCAGTCCAGCCTGGGTGACAGAGTGAGACTTTGTCTCAAAAAGAGGAAGTAGAGTTAAAAACATGACCTGACATACCCTTGGGTGTCAGATTTGTTTCCATGAATGTGGGAAAAGCTACCTGAGTAAGGTTCTTAACCTTGCTCTTAACTTTGAGACTCTAACTATCCATCTACATTTCAGTCTGGGCAGCACTTCCTTTATCTTTATCAAATATTGAGCTTCCACAAAATATTTCTTTCAAGCCAGAAGACTTTGTTATTGAAAAGTGTTTGTAAACCAGGACTCTATGATACAGTCACCATTCCTACTGCATCAGTGAGTTTTTACATGCACTGCCCTGATACAGTGGCTTACAGTTTTATCAGCAGGAAAGAAATATATCCCAGAAGCTTGTAATTTATAATGAGCTTTCCAGAGTCAACTTTCTTTTGATCATACTGATTTCACATTGAGGATTTTGAGTGAGGACAAAATTGTTAAAGAGAACCAAGGATAAATTATTCTAGTCTGATCAGTATATTAATATATGAAAGGACAGGGATTACAGGAGACTCCTATCAGGATCACAGAACAGGAAAGATCCGAACTGAAATAGTCTGTGATAAACAACTTCTTCCTACTTTATCAATGTTTCATCATCTATATCTAATATCCCTACTCATTCTTCAAAGAACAGTGCCAATCCCTTTGTCTCTCAGGCCTGATGATGGACAAAGCTGTCTCACTATGTTTGACATCCACCCTGCTAAAACACATGGGGAATTCACTGATAATAAAAGCAATTTGGTAAGTAGAATTTCATACAGCGGCAGTCTGAAAATCTCGGGACCCATTGTTCTGTTTTCCCATCTAGCAAGATGCCACCCAAGGTAGCCCCAGGTGGGTTTGTGAGGACCAGCACTCAATTGTCTATGCACATGTGTGTCTACTCACCTATGTGCATGTGAACATTCAGTAGAAGAGAAAGGAGGAAATTATGTCAGCAGAAGTGAAAGCCGGCCTTGAATACCAAGCATGTCAGCATCTTCTTATTAGGAAATTTCACCTGTCAGACCTAACAGAATAATTCAAAGGGGTAGTTGGGGGGAACCCTGAATTCTACATATTATATTGAGCTGGAGCTGAATATTCTCCACTTCTACTAAAAGCTGTTTGGTCAATTCAGGGGAATAAATCAAAGAAGATGTATTTTACCTTTAGTAGAGCCAAGTGATTGCAAAAATCAACTCGTTCATCATCTTCCATCACCAAGAAATTCAGTAAATAGTACCAGAATGGGAGTCAATAAATGTGCTTAAATAATACCATGGCTTTTACTCACTGTGCTTTTAATTTGGTAAATGAATGCCTTCCACTGGGTGACTACCCTAGAGTCCAAGCAATGACGTAGATTAAATACTCCGTTAGCTCTGCAAAGCTGAATGCATCTCAGAGGTCTAGCTAACAATAATGGTTCTGGAACATTCAGCCTAAATCTCCCTGCTGTTTAATTTCTAACATTGAAAAGGGGCATGTGGGTGCAACAAAACTCTGAAGTTAAAAAATCACCTTTTTAATAGTTTTAAGGATGGTAACTGTACAAATAAAAGATAGATGCCTTTAAGAAATACAAAAGGACATCCCCATAAAACAACTGCAGGATATTTTACTGATTACATTAAGTTAACCTCAAAATAACTCTCCTAGTGTGATACTAGAAGAGTATGTTTAGCAGAGCAAAGATACCTAGTTTCCTCTGACTTGGTTTCATCTTCATAATACTAAAGGTGTCATGATGATTATTTTTGAAATCACAAATGCCAAGATTATTCAGAAGAGAGGAGAAAACTTTTACAGAAGTTTTTTTTACATCTTTATTTTCCCTAATTCTCTAATTTTGTTATGATTCTGCACTGATCAAATTATGTTTAAAGTAGTATATTTAAGGAATAGTCTATGAATTCCATTCAAAGGACAGTAAGGCTACTTAGAACCATGTTTTATGAGGAACAGTTGAAAGAACTCAATTACTCAGCCTAAGGAAGAAAAGGCAGTGGAATATTTTGATGGTGGTGGGAAGAATCCACGTCTTATTGTCAAACACTTGAAGAGTTCTTATGTCTCGGTATCCTATGTAGTTTCAAAGGGTAGAATTTACAGGAATATGCCTTTTGGTTTCAACAAAGGAGAAAATTAACTGTTTAAACATGAAATGGGCCGCCTTAGGTATTGGTTAAATTTCTGTCGTTCATGGCGTTACATGGAGGGTTATGTGTCAGGCTACTAAAAAGGACGTTCAAAAATCATGTTAGTGCCTAAACCAGATGGTTTTTAGGTTTCTTCTGACCCTGAAATGGTTAAACGCCAGTCTGATCACTATATATTATATGTATCAAAACATAACTATGTATCCTATAAATATGTGCAATTATGATATGTCCAATTAAAAAGAAGAGAGGTAATTGTTACTTAACCAGAAAACAAACCCTCACAAATTCAGAGCCTGCCAATATATTCCCTCTGAAGGGCAGAGCAGGGTAGAACTGGCAGAAAAGGTGCCAGAGGATGACAGAGACGTGAATAGGAGAAAGACAATTGGTTCTGAGGGAGGAGAATCAGAGCCCTTGAGAAACGCATTGTCCTTGAGCAAGTCAATTTGACCTTCTAAAGTACAGCTTTGTTCACATTTCTATAAACACTTACTTAACTCACGGGCATGCTGCAGGGCTTACCATAATCCTAAGGTGACACAGTATACCCAGCACAGCAGTGTTTTAACCGGGGTGGGGGTCTCGGAGAGTTTACACATCAGCATTTACCACATTTTGTGCCTGGATAAACAGAAGCTCTAAGGAGCTGAAAGGATAGCTAAGAGAATAATGTCTTTAGCCAGGGACTGAAGTGGAAACTTCCCAGATCTCTGCCTTTTTACTGACTTGGTTTCTACGCCAAGTTTTTATAAGTAACATGCATTTTGGTGAGGCAAAAAACCAAAGGTAAAGATAAATTCCCTAACATTCACCTTTGTGAGAAGAGAAGCAACAATTTCTTTTTTCTTTTTATTTTTATTATACTTTAAGTTTTAGGGTACATGTGCACAACGTGCAGGTTTGTTACATATGTATACATGTGCCATGTTGGTGTGCTGCACCCTTTAACTCGTCATTTAACATTAGGTATATCTCCTAATGCTATCCCTCCCCCCTTCCCCCACCCCACGTGGGAATTGAACAATGAGAACACATGGACACAGGAAGGGGAACAATTTCAGCCCAGTACATGATCACCCACATTCTAACAAACATCCCCATCACTATCCCACAACCACAGCTTAAATGGAGAAAACAAGTCAGCAGCCCTGTAGAACACACCACCTAGGTGTCAACTTCTAAAGTGCCAATTCCTCATTGCTATAAATACGTTACATACTGAGTTACCTCCTGAAGAGCAGAGCAGCTTGAATTGGAGAAGGTAAGAATAAGAGAAGGCCTCCAGATTTCCTGATGCTCCTTCCCAGGTTGCAGGGGCATGAGTCCTAAGCCCACACTATAGAGATGAGTGTGTAGCTGAATCTGCGTCACCTCCAGATCACCTGAAGAGCTTCATAAACACAGATGTGAAAGCCTCCCACCCAGATTTACCAAGCCAGAATCTCTAGGAATGGGGTCTAGGGAATCTTGTTTTTTAAAGCTTTGTAGAAGATTCTGTAGCTGACACAAGAAACACACACTTCTTAGCTCATTCCTAGACTGACAGCCTGGATCTGCTTTGTCAGTACAGTAGGCACCAGCCACATGGGTGACTGAGCACTTGAAATGAGACTAGTCCAAACTGAGATTTATTGTAAGTGTAAAATACACACTGGGTTTCCAAGACTACTACTAATGAGAGAATGTAAAATATTGATTACATGGTGAAATGATATTTTGCATATATGTTAAATATATCATTAAAATTAATTTCTCTCATTCCTTTTTATTAATGTGATAACTAAAACATTTAAAAGTATATATGTGGCTTATAGCTATTATATGAATCATCTCTTGCCTTTCTATAGACTTTCTAATTTTCTTTCCCATACATTGTCTCATTACCCATACAACAATTCAGCAGAAGAAAATCCCTCAAACTCCCTCAGCATTAAGTACTCCTTGGCTGGGTGCAGTGGCTCATGTATATAATCCCAGCACTTTGGGAAGCCAAGGTGGGAGGATGGCTTGAAGCCAGTAGTCCCAGACCAGTTGGGGCAACATAGCAAGACCCCATCTCTACAAAAACTTTTTTTTTAATTAGCCAGACTTGGTGGCACATGCCTGTAGTTGCAGTGAACTATGACTGTAACACTGAACTTCTGCCTGCAGGGAAGAGTGAGAATCTGTCTCAAAAAAAAAAAAAAAAAAGTACTCCTTATTAACATCTTCCAGTTTACAAACTCTTCTATTATTTCTTAAGTCACTTCAGCTTCATTTCAAACTTTTTAGTTTCAATTTAAGGGCAGTCATTCTTCATACTTCTGTAGAAATAATACTGCCCCTACTTTTCCATTCTTCAGGAGATAGTTTCCAATTGCTTTGTCTCCAAAACATGACACTTGTTAAAAACTGTCATAACAAATTTAACAATCAAGCAGTACTTGCCAAAACAGTATTAGTTCAAGTTTTTGCCATTTTCCTGTTTATTACACCGAAACACTGAAAATCTGAGGAAATTTCTATGCACAAGTGTCTACAAATCAACTGAGAAAAATAGAATTAGCTACATGGTTTCTGACCTCAAAATAGTTTCATCAGGGAAAAGACCAGGGCTTATGTGTGTAAAAGACAATCTATTATAACCTGAGGTAGGAGCAGCTGACTTGGCAGGAAGGAGGAGGACATTTCAGAGAGGGAAGATGTCATGAACAATGCTGGAGCTGCAGTGAGCACAGCATCTGTAGGGCAGAACCTGGCCCCTGAGCTTATCTGTGAAGATGCTCAAGGGCACGTGTGGTGACAGGGACTAATGTAGTGGATGTGTAAGTCTCACTCACAAGGAGGACTCTTGCTCAACACAACCATGTTCTCTGTTCTCTCCTCACCAACTGAACTATAAGACCTGTTCTCCATGCACATGTCATAAAATTGACCACTAAACCACAGGTTAAGTTGCATTGCAGCTGCTTCTCAAAAGCAAAAGGGTGATTTTCACTTGGTGGGGGTCAGTACTGGAGGACAAGTACAAAACCTGGATTCCAGCAACTGCTCTTCACACATAGTAACTGCATAACCTGAGGCAAGTCACTGAAACTTGTGGAGGCTTTGTTTCTTCATCTGTGGGGCATTTGAGAGCCTCCAATATAACATCTACCCATGTGACCACTTTAATTACTGTAACTACACATAGACTAGGGGGAGCACGGGCTTTGAGGACAGATTATGTTCACATTTTTCCATCCCCTTTTTCCAAAAGGGAGAAAATACCACATACCTCACATGGTTGTTGTGTAAATTAAATGGAATTATTTCCCTACTACCTGGCACATAGTAGGTATTCAATAAACGATAATAGTCCTTTTCTCCATTACTATGATTTCAAGTGATGCCAAACCATGTCCAAATTTTCATGTAAACAAAATCAGCACTGGTTTTGGTCACATGAAAAAATAATTATCTGTGTGCATAGATACTGAAATTTGTAGAGAAATGGAATTTTAGCATCAATTGCAAGACATCTTTTGTCATTTTGTATTGCAGAGGCAATTCTCCTGCTTATTAGTGATTGAATCCAATGAGTGGTCTCCTACTAGGTATGACAGCTAAGTTTCCAGACATTCACTGACAATGAAAGAATATTGTCCCTTTAGAGAACAGTCAAACTCTCTCTCCGCCAGGATTGATTCAAATGTACTTGGCTCAGCAAAACATAGAATAACTGAGAAAATGGTCTCCCAATGAAACCCAGTCTTCTCCAACCTCTTTCTAAGCATGACACGTTTTTATTAGCACGTTCTTTGGTGTTGGTGTTTCCAGAGAGTCCCATTAATAAGCAGTCCAACTTTGGCCTTTACTGTAGGCCCTAAGTTTGCAGGAAAGGGGCCATATTGCAACCGGTGACAACTGGTGGCAGCTCGGAGAGTGTGAGATGGGGCTCTCTAGGCATCTAATCACTGCAACAATCCCAGCGTGAGGCTATACCGTTCATGGTTTACCACACACAAAACATCATTTCAGAGTTAAAAAAGCCAAAATGTAACAATTGTTGAAAAAAGATTCTCTTAATGGACATGAACAAAGTAGAAGGTATATTATTCTGTCCCAAATTTGGCTTTTATCTTGAGTCTTTCAGAAGAGCATCAGTGAATATATATTCAGAAAAGCCCACTGTAGAATAGGTCGGTAGATATGATGAGTTTAAGTTTTATTTCTCACTATTTTTAAAAGGTAAATGATGGTGTAAAGAAAAGTTTAGACTAGCCAAGAGTAATCTAAACCTGAAGGGTGGGATTATTTGGGTTTACTATTCCTATTTTTTCATAAATGTTGTATTTTTCTATGTGTGTGAGTACATATATATGTACATAAATATATGATATATACATATGTGTAGATATCTGATATATAACTATTTTACAACTATACAAATACATGCTCATAATAAAAGAATGCAATCAATAAAAAATTGTTTACATTATAAAACTAGTTTTTATACAAAACTGGATGAATTACCAACAATTCCTATTATTAAAGTAAAATTTAAAAGTCTCTAAAAACAAGAACTGTACTTATCGCCTGAATATCTTCAGTAAGAATCTGGTATATGTTTGTTAATAACATAGTGGCCTTTTAATTTGTGTTTATATAAATCATGTTTATTCCCCAATACTAATAATTCTCTTCTCCCTTTCCCCATACAGGCGTTAGGTGAGGTCTTCAGGCAGATGGCACCACTGGCTCTCCAGGTACAGCTGCCAAGTAGGGGCAAGTTACCTAGCACAAAGCCTGTACCTCAGCCCATGCCATTTCAGAGATACCAAGAAGTCATGTTTGGCTTCCAAATTGCACAGATCCCTTACTTACTCCTACTGTGTTCTTGAGATAATAAACCACTGAGGCACGTTTAGATAAAGGTTAATGTCATAACCTTTCCTGAGAGCAAACCTTGATATGGGCACAGAAGAGGTAGTCCTCTGTGGCAAGAGTCCCTAAATGGATGGAGGGAATGGAGAGGGATTCAATAGAAGCTATGAAAAAGGGACATTTTCTACCTTCACCATTTAGCCTGGGATCAGTCTTACAAAGAATGATAGCAGCAACTAACCTATAACTTAAGTCAGTCTCTGGTAATGCCAGAACAAAGTCATCACACATCATTTCTGACCTGTATCCTACTTGACTTGTCAGATACTTTAGGTAATAATGATTTTTTTATAGTTCTCCTGGGCCTACCCTTTCTGTACTAAGGCATGAGAGAAATATATATACTTTATTCCAACACACTGAAATGGCAGTCTCTCTAGGAAACAAAAAAAAAAGCCCATGGTATTAATACCATTTAATTAATAAGGCATCAGTATGATTTTTCCAGTCACTCACATCTTAAACTATAGGTTATTAAGGGACAAAGGGGAGAGTAGGAGGCACATCTGGCTTCCTAGAGGGAACTGGTGTCTTTGCAGATGCACCTGCTAGTCTGCTCCTGAGTTGTGGCTTCCACAGACTTCAGACTAATTGTATTCCAATTAATAGAGGTAACAAGCACTTTATACTGAATTTCATTTTCAGAGCTTACTTCAAGACACACACAAGACAGTTCAGAGTACCGCATTGGCAATCACCTTTATGAACCACCAGGAAGGCACTAGTGGAGGGGAAAGAAATAGGAAGAGAAAACGCTGTGTTCATTGATTCTAATGAGAAGTTTCCTAGGCAGGCAGATCTTGTTCTTAAATCTCTCATCAAGAGGGTATGTATGAATTATACTCCAGGTTTATGAATGCTTTAAATTGTATGTATATTAATAAAAGCTCTGTAGCTTCTTCAATTTCATGTTCTTTTATTGTAAAAAAAGAAGAAACAAAAAAATAGTTGCTTGAATGATTCTTCAATATGATAGACAAATTCCTAGGCAGGCAGGCACAGGTCCCTGGTGAAATCTCACCTTCAAACCAAAGACAATTTAAGGGCTGAAAACCCTTTTTTGATTTTTGATTGCCTTTTATTCCATCAAATAATGCTTTTTCCAGGCCCACCCATGGACCAATCAGCATGCACTCCCCCATTCCGAGCCCATAAAAACCCCCAGACTCAGCCACATCTGGGGCTATCTGCTTTCTCCCCACCCCACACACAGAGGGCTGCTCAATTTGGGTCTTCTATTGTGTCGAGAGCTGTTCTGTCATTCAATAAACCCTTATCTGCCTTCCTCACTCTCCGTTGTCCATGCAACCTCATTCTTCTTGGACACAGGACAAGAACCTGGAGCCTGCTGAATGGTGGGTGTAAAAGGACCAGTAACACTGTGATCCTCCCTTCTCACTTGTCAAGCAACAGGAGAGGAAGCTGCTGGGCACCACATACCCCACCCTGTTTGTCCTACTGCAGGTGGCAGGAACAAGCCATAACACGAACGAGCTGTAACACACCTCCCTCCCATCCACTGCGCTGTGGGTGGTGGAAAGGAGAGAGAGCTGTAACAGCCCTTGGGGGCTCGGACCTTGGGACTCCCCAAGCAAAAGCCACAACACCCTTTGGGGCTCCATGATTGCTGGACTCTCCAAGTTTTCTGGTGGCACCATGTCCCCCTCATCCAGATGCTGGCACCCAGGGTGGAAGACAGTCACAGCATGCTGGGACCAGCCATGGACTGAGCACAGAACTGCAGCAGGCACGGAATCTGGGCTGGTAGTGCGAGCTGAGTGCAGCCTGCTTGGCCAAGTGGGAAGAACTAGCCCAACGGTGAGCCTGGAGCTGAGTGAAGCCTGGGCAGAGGCATCACTGGCCGCAGAGATTTCTGGCTGGTGAAGCAGCACCAAAAGAATCCTGTGTCAATTAGCTGGTCACAAAGATTCAAAAGATTCCCCACATATGATTGGCATCATACTTACTGGAAGGCAGTCATACAACTTAAGGAGTGGAGTAATTTAAAAGTGGTGTTAATGAGCCAGTTTGTTGTAATACTTGGGGCTGTATTTTGGGAACCACATAGAGCTGTGAATTTCTCTGCTAATAAGTGTTCCTGGAAGATTTCTAGTTGTTTCTGCTATTGCACCTTAACAGTTTGTTCAAATTCTCAGGGTCCCAGTGAGCAGCAGAATTGAGTGACCATCCTATGAATTGTTAGGCTGTTTCCACAAATACCTAAGCATTAAAATATCCACGTCTACCACTTCTTCCTTCCAACCTTGAAAACAGTTTACTGACTCAAAAATAAACCTCCTAAGAATTTGTACTAAACAATTTTTGACACACCTTTAAGTCACTGGAGAAACAGAGGAACGAGTTGAATGCACCAACGTCCGTAGGTGAGAACATTCCATCATGTTAGTTTTGTGCAGAGCATGATATTACTGATGAGATATGAAGTGGCCATGGGGTGGAACTTTCCTTAATGAGGTTCTCCCAATTAATTCTCGCCTTTTCTTGTTTTTATGTAACAATCAGGAACTGAGACCAGATCTTGAATACCATTCTGACACACAGTTTGAAGACTAAACAGCAAAATGCTAAAGTCTAATTCATCAGAGATGCTTCCTGGTTCCATCAGCCTGCAACAGGGGTCTATATTACACAGAAAAGAGGGGTTGCAACAGGGGCTATAAAATCATCACTAATGTGCACTTGGATTAACAACAATATGCTCAAAATGCCTTTACATGTCAAGTATGAAGCAAGCTTTTGGCACTCGCAGATGGAACTAAAATGAAATGAAATGTTGGCAGCAACTCTCTAGATCCGCAAGGGAACAGGTTGAGTCTCTGATAACAATTGCTCCCTGGAGGCTCTGAGATTGCTGTGAGCAAACCCAGGGAGGCAGGGGTTACCAAAATAAACAATTGAGATTGTTTCTGAACACTACTGACCTTAGCCCTGGGCAGTAAGAGACAAAAAGGAACAGGACAGAATTTTTTTTAATAAAGTAAAAAAAAATATTTAAAATCAATCCCCTATCTCTATTTTCAAAGCTCACTCACTCTGCAGGGGGCTCAGGGTCTGCAAAAAGGAAAGGTCATGGAATTAAATGAGAAATGAATGGACTCAACCTGATTTAAACTAGCTCACCTAAGCACTGTTCAGCAGAGTTGAAAATTAGCATAGTTAAAATCTGGAAATCGGAGTCAGAAGTCCCATCATCTCCCCTCCACTGATTTACTATGTGACACAAATACTGTGCTTTTAATACTGTTACATATGTGTATCTGGCATAATGATTATTTTGTTGATTTGCTTAGAAATATGGAAGCAGAAATATAACATGACCAGGGTGGCTGTTTGGCAATTACTTTTAAAATGAAAAGACAGTTTCCATTTCAAGAGGGAAATTTAATAACAAAAAGGTGAAGACATCATAATAAATAAGCAAATGAAAAGAGATTAGCATGTTTAAAAGAGAAAATTTATTGGTGTAACACCTAGACTTGTGTCATTAAAAAAAAATCTATATATTTGACCTGTTACTTCAAGCAAAATAAGAACAGAGTGCTGTACTGGCTGATTCATTCCATGTTATATTGCTTTTCTGCACACTAACTTTTTTCAAATGGCTCTGTTGGAGAAAATAAATCATCTGTACAGCCCACTCCTTAGCCACATCAATCCTATTTAAAATGTATATCCAAGCTTAATCTAAGTACCCAAACTCACACTGCCCAGTGAATCTGAGAGGAAAATAAGTCTGCACATCCTTCTTTGACTATGAGTTCTTGAGGTAAACTCATCATTGCAGACCCCACATCCACAGGGATCATTTCAAGGAACCCCCAAAACTCATGGAGATAGAAAGTAAAAGGATGGCTACCAGAAGGTGAGAAGGGTAGTGGGGTGGGGATGGGGTGGGAGAGAGGTAGACATGGTTAATAGGCACAAAAATGATAGTGAAAATGAATAAATAAGACTTAGTATTTGATAGCACAACAGAATGACTAGTCAATAATTTAATTGTATCTTTTAGAATAAGATTGTAGTTGGATTGTTTGTAACACAAATAATAAATGCTTCAGGGGATGGATACTCCATTCTCCATGATGTGATTAATATGTATTGCATGCCTGTATCAAAACATCTCATGTACTTGATAAATATGTACATCTACTATGTACCCACAACAATTAAAAATAAAAATAAAAAATAAACAGAATTCCCTTCTTTCTCTGCAATAAATAAAGAACCCTCAAATAGCCAAGTATCATCTCAATGACAACTGAGTTTGCTGTTGAATCATGGGTGCTAAAAATAAAATTATTGTTATATACTTACTGGCTTCCTTTCAGATTAAGTTTGTCTGCAACTGATGCAAAATTGTATGTGAAATATGATCATAAGTAAACCAAGGCCATGGACATTTTTTTTTTCTCTTCCAGTTGGAAAATCTCAACAGTTACTCCTGATTCTACTCTTACTATAAGAAAAGAAATATCACAAAGTCAAACACTTGTTAAAACACAACAAAAGTGAAAAACAGGAAGGCCACCTGTATTTTCTTACACATTTAACCAATTAGATATTTTTAGGGCCATTCTCAAATTTATCTCTTGTAAGTGACTAACCATTTTTTGATATTTACATTGTCCAGGCATTTAAAGATCAACTTGTTTATGAAATACTAATTAAACCAAATGCCAGATTTAAATGTGTTCTCAATTAGTCATTTTTTAAGTATAAAGAAAAAAAATCAGTGCATTACAACGTGAACTTTTCTTTCTTTTGCTGGGCTCTGTACTTCTCTTTAGAGTGTTTTTTACAATTCCTTTGTATTCCTGAAATCCGGTTCTCCTTTTCTAGTTAGCAATCAATCAAAAAATGTAGCCAGCAGGTGCCATCCCTACACCAAGTCAGTCTCCCTATGGTTATGCTTCACCTTTTTTTTTAATTTTTAATTTCTGTGGGTATATAGATGTATAGACTTATGGACTACATGAGATATTTTGATACAGGCATACAATGCATAATAATCACATCAGGGTAAATGGGGTGTCCATCACCTCAAACAGTTATCCCTTGTGTTCCAAGAATCAAATTATGACCCTTCTTGGTACCTTGGAATGTTGCATCACGTAAGTGTTAATACTAACAGCAACAGCAGCAATAACAAAACTTCACTTTGCTCAGCACTTTACAGTTTGCAAGGTAAATGTCCAGCACAAATCAAACTCAGGTCTTTCAGATACAAGCTCAGTTATCTTCCTACTCTACTGTAGTTTACTTTTCTGGTCCATAAAATAATTACAAATTTTATGTAGTATACATGATTGAGAGTAGGAGAATAGGGAGCAGAGAGGGGAAAAGTCATGGTCTTCATAACTGCTATATATTTGGAAATACTTAGTGTTCAAAGTGGTATAACTAAAAATGAACACAAAAGTCAGGAAAGTAGTGGGAACAGCTGGTGACTAGAAATTCAAAGTAGCTGCCTGGACAATTCCTCATTAGCAAGTCACAGGGTACTTCCTGCATCCCATGGTCAATGTGTAAGAGAAGTATAGAGCTACCTTGATGAAAGGGAATCAGGGGGAGACGATTCAAGAAACCAAAGAGTGGTTGTTGTAAGAGATAGGGTAAAACCAAATGGCCATTTGTTTACAAAGTGAGATGGAGAATTTATCTTCCCTGTTTAACTCTGAATAGATTTTAAATAATATATGACATACATTTATTGCTTATTCAATCCATAAAAGAAGTGAAAATAAACAACAGGTGGATTGCATTGTCAAAGGGGGTCTGGAAATTTAATTTTGAATGCTAACTTCACATCAGAATCACCCATTCATGTGGGGTGACTTGAGTATCCAGACAACAATAAAGCCAAATCCTGAGGTTTGTCAGTCCATCAACACACAATTATGTCTTGATCAATTACAGACTTAGAAACAAACTATAAAACACTAGAAGAAAAATCTATCATAACTTCTGTAATAATGTTGGGAGAGACAAAATACTCTCTGCAGAATTCCTACATGATTTTGTTTTTATATAGTTATGTAGGCACCCAACCTGCCTTTCTTTGAACAAAATTCTGATTTAGACCTAAGGTGAGGTCTACCCACAGGTACCTTAAGGTTCCCTGGATAATTTGGCACACTCCTAGTTGAGTTCCACTAAGCATTGTGACAGTCATTGGAAAATATTTCTTACTAAATGACAAAAAATAGAGAAAAATAATGAGTCTTCTTGTTCAGGGCCTAGTGCATAATTCCAAGTTCACTACTGGGACTGAAAAAGAAATTAAGTTTATTATGATTTGGAAAACTGACCCTCCAAGAGTTGAAGGAAAGCTAGGAATGAATAAGACAACCAGTGTGACTGATGAGAGAATTTCTTCAAAGGTAAATTCTAAAACCTCAGCCCAGGTCAGACTTTTCACAGCCTGTGGTAAATGTGACAAATAAGACAATGAATTATTTTTCAAGAAGCTTAACTTCCTCAGAAATTTTCCTCAAATTCCTCTAAACTTATGGCCTGTGTAATTTTTTAGTTTTGAAAAAAATCCCTTTTAATAAAAGAAAGGATCATTATATAGATCCTAGTTTTGGGGTTTAATTCTAGAGTTTTAGGTTAGTAAATAAAAAGTTAGAACACCTATATTGGACTAACAACAGGTAGACTATTTTTTTAAATAAGGCAAGAGCAGCTGTAAGAAAAGTATAGCAAAGGTAGAAGAAGGAAGCTACAGTCTGAGGATGGATGGAGGTAAGATAATGTGTTATAACTACATGGCAAAGTAATCACCATAATTTTGAAACTTTAGGACAACTAAAATCCTGCACTAAGGTACAGCATAAGTATTCAAGAGCACACAAAGGAGAAATAAATACATTGTTCCTGCCTTTGAGGAACTTTGTAATCACAATTTGGTCATATGCTCTTGGGTCTATTTTAGATGTTATTTGTTCCTATCTTGGCTCCAGTATATACAGCCAGAGAAAAAAATTAAACAGTAGAATTAATGAATACTAAAACAGGTGGTTATCAACCTTAGCAGCACTTTCAAACAACCTAGAGAGCTTCAGAAACAAAAACAAACAAAAACAAACACATCAGGATTTGGGTCCCATTCCAGTCAAGAATCTGAGGTCAGCTTTAATGGCCCTAGAACAAGTCTTTTTTAAAAGCCCTCAAGATGGTTGTAATATATGACCAGCACTAAGACCCACTGATGTAGCATCCATACTCTATAATATTCTATAGGACAGAAAACTTAAAGACTTATCCTACTAGAAAAACTAACAACCCTTTCTGCTACCCACTTAAGAGATTGATTATGGTAGCTCCTTTTTCATCCACTTTCTGTGATTTCTTAAGCCAGTCTCAGTACTTGTACATGGCATTTATGAAGATCATAATCATTAAGTTAAATGGATCACAAGGAATTTGGAGTGAGTAGTCAGGGCTTTGTACTCTATGACAAGTTCCCTGGGTAGAGAGATCCTTTCATCAAGATCAAATTGACTACTTCTAAATGTTGTCATGTGACTTAGATAGTAGCAGAAAGTCAAAGGGCAATCATCATCATCATCATCCCCTTTAATAAATGCCTGTCAGCAGCACACCAACAGCTGCTATTTTTACATGCAGAATGCCGCAGTTAAAAAAAAAAAAAAGCCCATGGTGGCTTCAGGCTTCTGGCTATATTCTTAATGAGTTTAAGAGGGGAGTTAAACAGCTGAATAACTTTTTTTTTTCAAAGTCTGTAAAAACCCTAATCTCCAGATGTCCATCTCCAATTTGCCCAAAACAGTGAAGAAGAGAGAAAACACACACACACACACAACACACACACACACACACACACACACACACACACAGACCCGCCCCCACCTGATTAGGAATTCTGAGAGGGGTGCCTTCAGAAATCTAAGATGCAGGAGCATGGAACATAGCTAATGTAGATTCGTTTTGCATTGACTAGACAGTGAAATTCATGGTTGCCCCTTGAAGTAAACAAACCAGTTACTGGCAAACTTTGCATGCAGCTCCTAGCATTAATCCACTACATAGCGCATTTGCAGCCTGTCAGCGTAAACAAGAAACTGAATTGACAGTGAAATTCAATAGAACCAGGACATTTCATATGTTCAAAAAGAATCCAGTGAGACCCACACGTGTGTTATGAAGCACTCCCTCTGTAGACCTACATGCATACCTGACTTCCTCTCCAAAGAATTTCCTGCACCCCTCCATGGAATCAGAGCTCCTTTCAGTTTCTAGATTACTAGTCCTGGGAGTTGGAACGAACATCTAACTCTTATGCACAATAAATAGGAGAGCACTGGAGCCATCTCCCACACCTGATAACAAGCAGTCTACTCAGTAGAAAAGTCTCATCAGAACATAGCAGAATGGCCAACCTACTGGTGTCTTATCTCATGGTAAGAACTTCCTTCCTAAAGGCCTCATAGTGCTTTATTTACATGTGTTGATTCATCTTTTTAAGATTTCCATTTCTAAAGGGAAGATGACACTTTTATCATATTAAAGATAATAACACCATGGGAGGGAGAGGTTAAGAATTCTGCTTGAGGTCATAAAGAACCTGTGGTATTTAGGAATAGAAGTCAGATCTTTCTGATTGTGGTTCAGTGCTTTTTTTTTTTTGTCATAACATACAAAAAGCAAGGGGCCCAGGCAACAGAAACAGTGAGCATCCTTAGCCCAAGGGAACACCTCTGAAGTCTCTGTCAAATCATTTGTTTCTGCTCAATGCAATAGTGCTTACATTTTTAGCATAAGATCAGATCAGAAGAGCCAATACCACCAATCTAAGAAGAACATTTTCTCCCCATTACTGTCAGTGAGGACAATTTAAGTATAATCCTAACTGGTGCCCAATGGAGGGTTCTAAAATTAGAATAAAAGGCAGGAGCTCAGGGAACCTAACAGCCAATCCTGCATTCAACATGTACTGGAAGCAATTCTACTGAAGATGATGTAAAGCAGACCACCAGACACTGACCAGAGGCAGTTTACACACCAATAAAGTAACAGAGTGATTTTTAAAAAGTCAGGTAAACAACAGCACATACACTTTCTTCAGTTAAAGATGTTGTGTTCATTTTGAAATACCTACTCCTCTCTCTTTAATGATTTCCCTGTATCACGGGGACAGGCGAGGACATGAGGTGACATAGATCTTGTCTTTCATTTTGAGTAGAATAGAGCCAATCAGATATGAAGCATTTTACTCATTCAAGGAACACATATTGAACACTTTTAAAAATATAATATGGCAAGGACCATTCTGGGTACTTCCGATAAACATTGATAAAAAAAATTAAACAGTCCTTGCTCTCCTGGAGATTCTATTCTAGGGGGTAAGAGAGAAAATGAATAAATATACATATAATGCAATGTCAGTGCTATTTATAAGATTTAAATAAAATAAAGTTAGTTAAAGGAATTAAGAATGATGAGGTTGTGGTTTACAGGTAAGATGGCCAGGGTGGACATCTTTAAATAGGTGATATTCAAGCTGAGATCTAAATGAGAACTATTTTATTTCATCTTTCATTCAATTCATGAAAAATTTAGTAAGTGTCTACTATGTGTGAGCACTGTTCTGGGCATTCAGCACACATGAGTAAGTGGCTTTCATAAAATCTCTGCCCCATAAAAAATATTTAGGGTTAGGAAAGAGTGCTGCTACTCTCAAATTAGGAATGGTGACTGTCATCTTAGGTAGGACTCATCCAATTTCTGTTTGGGGTTTTCTTGTTTATTCACATTTAATGTACATGTTTAAGGAATTATACTTGCAACAGGTTTAAACAACTCAATTTGCAAATCTCAGGAGGGTTTTTCATCATCTCTGAGATATCAGGAAGCATTTTACACCAAGATAAAAACAAAGTTTTAAGTTCAGAAGCACCTCCATGGTGCTCATGGAGCCATGGGTCGTCGCTAGAATAGCACTGTCCTGTACTAACTAGGTGCCCCTCTCAAACTATCCTGTTATCTAGTTTTCAGTGATCTCTATCTCCCAGGTCTACCAATATTTTCCATCTGGATGCAGGAATAACATAAATAAAATATCAACAGGGGAGGCTTAGCATTAATGAGAGCTTCTTCCTACAGGGAAGGGACTGCAAGGTGTCCACACCTCAAATCAAATATTTAAGCTAAGAAAAAGTCCAGGCACATTTCTCATGATAGCGTGCAAAGGAAATATAAAACACAGTTCCCATAGAAACATGTAATACAACCTGAGAAAAAATGTGAAAAGACAGTCATTTGGAGCTTTGTCCTAAGAATCAGAAGATGGGGGCTCCACGCTTCCACATCAATTTCGTGTGCAACCTTGGGCAAGTTACATAATCTCTTTGAGACTCTGTTTTCTCATCACTGCAGTATTGATATGAGACTTTCAAATATCTCTGCAGAGCTCAGTTCAACCTGAGTAGCTCTGCTTTTATCTGTTCTGACTGTGTTTCTGGGTAAGATTTCTTTTGAAAAACGGTGCTCTGATGAAAAATAAAATTTTATAATCACTGAAAGAGATGTTCTTTGCATTCTTTCTATTCCACAATACCAAGACTCTTAATAAGATCCAAAAATCTCACTCAAACTTAAATGAGAAAGGAGGAGGGAGAGGACCTTTTTAAAAACAAACTGTATCCTGCCTTACAAAGCCACTTGTTAGTTTCCCCTATTCAAAGAAGAAACAAACCCTTCCATGGTACTGCTAGAACATCATTTTGACAACTGAACTCAGTAACCATTACGGCAAATCCCATAGAGACTTGTTTTTTCTTTTTTTTAAGGTAATGTGTACATTCCTTTACTTCTGAGGTTTTCCCTAGCTGACAGTATATGGGGAGAAAAAGCAAAATTAGTAGTATCTTTGTTAAGCTGCTACTTTATCCAGTAAGTATTTATTGAATGCTTACTACGTACCAGACAATAGTTGCTCATGTGAGTTACTAGATTTTCTCAAATTAGAGAATAATCTCCAATTAAACATATATCCAAGACGTAAAGTGGAGAGTTCCCATGGTGGTAGATTGGAAAATTCATTACTGTTCAAGTGTCAATTCTCCCCAATTTTGAGGAGGCCATGCGAAGGAAATTCAATGGAGAAAGGACAGTTTTTCAACAAATGTTGCTTTACAACCAGGTATGCTATGTTTAAAAAAAAAAAAGAGCTAAGATTCTTAAATCATAATTTATACAAAACTGACTCAAAATGGACTGCTGACTTAAGTATAAAATGTAAATCTATAATATTTCTTTAAAAATAGGAGGAAATCTGCATATTAAGTTTGGTGATGATGGGTTTAGATGTGACATCAAGGCATGATCATAGGGAAAAACTTGGTAAACCAAAATTAAGAACTTTTGCTCTGCAAAACATAAGGCTAAGAGAATGAAAAGACAAGCCAGAGACTGGGAAAAAATGTATCCGAATCACATATTCAATAAAAAATTTATACTCAGAATGTATAAAGAACTCCCAAACCTCAAAAAGAAAGCAAAAGTCCCAATTTAAAAATGAGCAAAAGATTTAAAAAGACACATATCCACAGAAAATAGGTAGATGACAAATAAGCATATTAAAAATCCTCAACCTCATGAGTTATTACAAAAAATTAAGTTAAAACCATGAGAAACCAGTATCCACCTATTAGAAGGATAAAATGAAAACAAACAAACAACAACAAAAGCAAAAGCTGACAACACCAAGGCTGTGGAGGCACTGGAGCTCTCATCCACTGCTGATGGAAATGCAGAATGAAATATGGTACAGCCTCTTTGGGAGAGAGTTGCTAAATTTCTTGTTACAAGTTCACATATACTTACCACACTCCTAGATATTTACCCCAGAAAAATGAAGACGTATGTCCACAGAGAAACCCATGTGAGAATTTTTAAAGCAGCATTATTCACAATTGCCCAAAACTGGAACCAACTCAAATATTTTTCAGTTATACATCCAGACAATGGAATACAACTGAGAAATAAAAGCAAATTATTGACTCATACAACAAGGATGATACACATAAGCATTAAGTGAAAGAAGCTAGACTTAAAAGGATATATACTGTGTGATTTATTTATAAGATACTTTAGAAAATGCAAAACTATAGGAGTTTTCAAGTTGGTTGCCAGTAGCTAGGAATGGAGTGTTTTCCAAATCACGAGGGAGATTTAGGAGAAATAAAATAATTACTCTGTATCTTGAATGTGATGGTGATTACACAATTCTATGCATTTGTCAAAATTCATAGAGCTATATGCTTTACTGTTTGTAAATTAAAATACTTAAGGCCATGGACATTTGTGATTGGTAGTAGTTTTTTTTTTCTTTTTAATCTCTATGTACCCACATATGGTTACACTGTGGGATTTAAGTTTTATGGGTGAATGTGGGTTTTAAATTGTGGTAGCATTAAGGCATTCAACAATTAACCACACTCTTTAATATAGGAAATACCCCTTCCGGTTCCCACATACACACAAAATAACCCATTTTAGTCACGCTCTGACAGCCATATAAATAAACAAGCAGCGAAACGTCAGCAGAAAACAGTTTCATAGGGGCCAATTGTCCAAGTATGGCTCACCATGTAATTTTCATTTAACATAATATGACAAAATGGTACACACAGAAAGGAGGTTCCTCCAACGGACTTTTTACATTCTGTTCTTTGCATTTTTCCTGATGTGCGTTAAGACTATCATTGTTAAAATTTGGGTGTTTATTCCTAGATTGTCATATCTACATCATCATATTAAACCAAAAAAATAAATAAAAAAGAAAGAAAAGAACTTTCAGGAGCATAATTATAAAAAAAGGAGATGATAAACTAGTTCCTTCATGTTTAATTGCTGAGTAAACTAAAAGTAAACATTGAAAACAAATCATTACACATAGCATGTTTAAAATAGATCTTATTGCATTTATTCAAATACTAATAACTTAATATTTTCATAAAAGTGCCTATCTGAAATTGATATGAATGACCACAAACATTCCTCTGACAGAGAGCTAATTTTAAATGATCTAATGATTAAGGAATAATTGCAGTTTAGTCTTTCATTTTAAAACATGCATGTGTATGTTCATTGCAGCACTACTAACAATAGCAAAGACATGAAATCAACCTAAATGCTCTGGATGAAGAAAATGTGGATAGACTGGATAAAGAAAATGTGGTACATATATACCATGGAATACTATGCAGCCATAAAAAAGAAAGAGATCATGTCATTGCAGGGAAATGGATGGAGTTGGAGGCCATTATCCTTAGCAAACTAACACAGAAACAGAAAACCAAATACTGCATGTTCTCAATTATAAGCAGGAGCTAAAGGATGAGAATATATAGACACATAGAGGGGACCAACACACACTGGAGCCTTTCAGAGGGTGGAGGGTGGGAGGTGGGAGAGGATCAGAAAAAATAACTAATGGGTACTAGGGTTAAGACCTGGGTGATGAAATAATCTGTACAACAAACCCCCATGACACAAGTTTACCTATGTAACAAACCTGAACTTCTACCCTGAACTTAAAAGGAATACATACATACATACATACATACATACATACATACATACAAATGAAAACCTGTATTTCTGTAGTGCAACTTCCGGGACTCCTCTGAGAAAGTGATCAGATCCAGTGTAGTGGTGTCTGTCTGTCTGCTTTTGCAAAATATATGACCAGAAAATCAAAAATAGTTAATCCTCAAAAATATTACTATCAAGTGTTTTTTTTTTACTTATACTAATATGTATATACAGTCATGTGTCACTTAACAACAGGGATATGTTCTGAGAAATGCATCGTTAGGCAAGTTCAACATTGTGCAAACATCATAGAGTACACTTACACAAACTTAGATATTGTTGTCTACTTCACACCTAGGCTGCATGGTATAGCCTATTGCACTAGGTTACAAACCTGTATAGCATGTTCCTGTACTGAATACCTTAAGCAGCCATAACACAATGGTAAGTATTTGTGTATATAAACATATGTAAATATAGAAAAGGTACAGTAAAAATACAGTATTACAATCTTGCAGGACCATGGTCATATATGCAGTCCATTGTTAACTAAAATGTCGTTATGCAGGGCATGTCTGTACATGATAGTTCATATATGTATACATATATATGCATGTATACACATATATACATGCACCATATATACCATCTATACGTGCATCATACACACATTATGTAATTCTTCTGTATGTGCAAATTTGTGGTGTAATGAACATAAAACTGGAAAACAAAACTGCTAAACTAGGAGATTATAATCTTAACTGTCACCAACTAGTTATAGGATCTTGAACAAGACACTAGCATTCTTTAGACTTCAGCTTCCTAAATCCAGAGCATCACTTCAAGTCCTAAAATTGTATCAGAGCCCCAGGGAAGCCCTTAAAAGGAAAGGGAGAACTTCCTGTTTATTTTCCCTCCCTGGCCTTCCCACACTTCACTCAGTCCGAGATTCTCTCTGGGAAATATACTTTTTGAAGCTGAAGCTGGTACTGTCTTTCACTCTTTGAACTTCTTTAGACCAAATAACCCTACAACAATTTTTCAGGACCAGCCCAATATGACTGAGATTAAAGTACCATCTTGGAAAATTAAGGTAGCTAAGTTTAATCATGCTGAAAAAAGTGGCAGTATTTGCTATCACTGAGAAACACGGTGAGTCATAGAAAAGTTCATTTTCATAAAAAAATAACTTGCAGGAAAAAGGCTCCTTGCAAAGTAACATCACTTATGATTTCTAAAAATATGTGCAATTTGTCAATACCTCAGGATGCAAATAGTGAAAACAGTTAACAGTTTACCAAGTATTGTCATCTTTTGGTTTGGCATTCAACATATGTTATTAAAGATAATTCAGTTATTTTTAAAGGCCTTTTTAAAAAGTAATTATAATTGGAAGGATCAAAGTTTGTTATCGCTAGTCTATCCCGTTTGAGGCACTATTTTACTATCAAGCCTGAAATATGATAAAATAGAAGGAAAAATCAAAGAATCTCATTAAACACATTTAGTTATTTGTAGTCCATAATTAACTTAATGCTACATTAACAAATTTAGCATACTCAGAAATATTTAATTTTTGCATTTTCCTTCCCTTTAGTCCATTTAAGTCTGCAAACCTAGAATACAGCTAAATCTTTGAGTTACATATGTCAGGATTCTAAATTCAGTGAATTATATTTATATTCACATAGATATTATTTTTACATACTGCAGTGCAGCACACTAAAAGGAAATTGTTACATGTAATAATATTTTCCTACAAGAAAGAAGTGCTAAAAGCTGGTCAGAGTTGTAACTAGAAATGAAGATGAAAATTAGAAAATGAAACAACTGTGATAATATGATTTCAGAGCCCGTAAAAAAAAGTTGTGAATAGAGAATGTCAACTCCGAGAAACAGTTTAACGTTAGGGGAACCGTCATTACCAAATGAAGACTAATTCTGACAGAAATAGAAACAAAAAGGTGGAGAGAATTTTTTCTTATACTTCTTTCACATTTACCATTGGAAATGTGAATATGCAAATTAATCATTTCCAATTATTATTAAATCTATATTGCTATTGCCAGGTCACATTGCTATACAATTTAAAGCCATTTGGTCAAAATCTGGCACAAGGTAATATGGGCATCATAGGCTCAGCTTAAATCCAGAAGTAACTCTATGATGTTATCTATTCAGTCTATGGAATTTCAGAAAAATGCAACATGTTAATTAGGATACAAGGTTCATTTTCTTTGGGAACCAATATGATCTTATTACACACCACCTGATTTCTATCATACACACCACCACTAGCCTCCCCATACACCCAACCTTGAGTTTCTCGTTGCTCCTCCTTTCCCCATTATCTGGGTGCATGCAGCTACCACTATTTGGGCATGGAATGCTGCTGGTATGAAAAATGAGATTGCTTGCAGGAAGTCTCTGAATTCTTGGCTTTAACAGCTCTTTGCTCACATATTGTTTCTAAAAAGCTTTATGTTTCATAAATACATCCAAATATATTTTTTAAATATGTGCACTAATAGTGAGGTAGCTCTAAAACTCATTTTTTAGTTAAGAATAGAATATTGAAGTATAGCGTCTAACTTAAAAAGTCACTTTAGCCATTCTTAGTACAGACCAATGCTTCTCCAACTTGAATGTACATAAGAATCACATGGGACCCAGGCGCGGTGGCTCACTCCTGTAATCCCAGCACTTTGGGAGGCCGAGGCCAGGGTATCACCTGAGATCAGGAGTTCAAGACCAGCCTGGCCAACGTGGTGAAATCCCATCTCTACTAAAAATACAAAAAAATTAGCCAGGAGTGGTGGCAGACACCTGTAATCACAGCTACTCGGGAGGCTGAGGCAGGAGAATCTCTTGAACCCAGGAGGCAGAGGTTGCAGTGAGTCGAGATTGCACCACTGCACTCCAGCCTGGGCAACAGAGCGAGACTCCGTCTCAAGAAAAAAAAAAATCACATGGGAAATCTTGTTGAAGTGGAGATTCTAATTTGGCATAGTTCAGGGTGAGGCCTGAATATATCCCTTTCTAATAATCTAATAATCTCCTAGATGACATCAACTCTGCTGTTCTAAGATCATACTTTCAGCAGGAAAGTATAGACAGCATTTGAACCCAAACCTTCTAAGTCCAAGCACCACAAAACCCAGCTTTCTTTATAACTAGTATCTATTCCTTCTATTCCTTCTCAAACCCTGCTGCTGGGTGTCAGGATGGTACATTGTATCTCACATATGTGACTCAACCCTTCAATGGCTTTCTTGGCCTCTTGACAAACCATTAAGAGGCTTCTTCCTTCTGAAATTTCTAACCATGCTGGGCAAACTCCTCTTCCAGCCCATCTCCACATACTGTTATCTTTCCTAATAGATCTACCAACAGTTACCATTTATCAGAAGGGTTGTCTTTGTTTTCAATATAAGAGAGGCTCTAGCAACTTCATGTCCTATAACAGGCTGTCTCAGGCTGTTAGGGAGTAGCTGCTAGAGAAGGGAATACCATCTGCGGGACCTCAGGCTGGGAGAACAAGTGCAGGCAATACGCATCAACACCCACACTGTCATCTCACACAGCAAACCAGAGAGCTGGCATGAGATATGACTTGGTGGGGGGAATGGAGAGAATGTCAGTGGAGGGAACAGAGGGGAAGATGGACAGAGGGAATGCAGTCCAGGAGACAGCAGATTTTGCTCCTCCAGGAGTGACTATCTGAATTTAGCTTGATCTAATTATTCAGTTGAAGAAGACAATGACGATGACCCTTTTGGTCATTCTCTATATTAGCAGCAGAATTTTCTTATTGTGAGCGAAAGAATGGCATTGAGGTATGGGTTGAGCATCCCTAATCGAAAAACCCAAAAGTCCAAAATGCTCCCAAATCTGAAACTTGTTCAGTGCCAACATGATGCTCAAAGAAAATGGTCACTGGAGTATTTCAGATCTTGGATTTTTATGTTATGATGCTCAATTGTTATGTGTTTTGCCAAAATTCCAAAGTGCAAAGAAATCCAAAATACTTCTGGTCACAAACATTTTAGGTAAGGAACACACAATGTATATTTGCACTTTCTTCCATTTTAGGTACTTCCGAAGACTCTGTCCTCAGTGCCTAGCTCAGTGTCTTACTCACAGTCTATGCATCACAATGGATTTGGGGATGGTGAGGAGGACTGAAACTCTAAGGAGTAGGCTTTAGGCTAGATACAGAAGCATCTTCCTTTAGCTGCCCAGACTGCCACAGTAGGTAGCAACACAAAGGTGTTAACACACAGCAGTTTTGCTAAGGAGGTGCCCTGAATGCAGCTTTTATAAATGTGACACAGTGACATAGGGTTGCTGGCCAACAAGCTTTAGCAAAAGGTAAGAACATTACAAATAGCTATGCTTTCATTTCTGTGATTTACATGGTATAATGTGATGACCTGGCCTGATTAGTAAATATAGGTGACATGGAGTAGAAACAGCAAAAGCTAGTAAATGTTAGCTCATGTATTCCCTGACTCCCAGAACCTGATAGTGTCCATCTTGTAATGACCTAGCAGGATTTGACCATGATACTGGAGAGAAAGAACAGGTCTATGAGGCAAAATGAACACTGACACAGGTGTGGCTTTCCAAGAGTGGGGCAGCACCAGATCCAAGGTAGGCACGAATATGGAGAGCTCCTAGGGAAATTAGGAACAGGATGATCTGAGGTACATCAAACTGTCCCCAATCCCTTAAGGGCCACAGTACTCAACCTCTCACTATTCTTTTGGGGCTAAGAAGTAAGAAGTGCTAAGGTTAGTAAGGATGGTCAGAAGAGGAAGCAGTAGCAGGAAACTAAGCATCCTACTGCAGAATCCTAATGCCTCCAACACTTGGAGGCCAGGATGAGAAGCCATTATCACATAAGCTGATCACCGAGTTGGTGAACAGACCAAGAAAACCAGTCTCCCAGTGTGTCATGAGAACATGGATTATGTGGACATTTCAAATTCTCATGTAGGTGATGATATGATTTGGCTGTGTCCCCACCCAAGTCTCCTCTTGAATTGTAGATCCCATAATTCCCACGTGTTGCAGGAGAAACCCAGTGCGAGATAATTCAATCACAGGTGCAGTTTTCCACATACTGTTCCGGTGGTGGTAAGTCTTACGAGATAAGATGGTTTTATAAATAAGGGAAGCCCCTTTCATTTGGCTCTCATTCTCTCTTGCCTGCTGCCAATGTAAGACGTGCCTTTCACCTTCCATCATGACTGTGAGGCCTCCCCAGCCACGTTGAACTGTGAGTTCATTAAACCTCTTTTTCTTTGTAAATTACCCAGTCTTGGGTATGTCTTTATCAGCAGTATAAAAATGGATTAATACAGGTGGAGAGGGGATAATGACAGATAAATGAAATAAAGATTACATCTTCTATAAGCCACTCCACGTAGCATGAAAAGACCAAACTCCTTGCCTATCAGTTTGTTAACACTGAGAAGTGCAGGGCCTTTCAGTGATCCACACGGAGCAGAAAAACAATCATGCACAGAATGATCAGAGTGTTCGCAGGTATGTACACGAGAAAAAGCTGTCCAGGCTCAATCCATTATTTACAACACAAAATTAAGATGAATATTTCTCACATCTCACTAAGAACACAGTCCAGGAGATGAAAGTAAGCAGGAAAGATGGCAGTATTTTCACAGGATAATGCCGACTTTGCCAGTTTCTTTTGAAGGCTTCAGAAAGGTCTTTGCTGTACATCTTCATCCAAGACAGTTTTCTAGAGAACCCGTACACATTAGAGATGTTTTTTTCTTTAATTTGTTCTGGAATATGAACCTGGTGCACAGGGATTTAGTAAGACGTCTCTTTATTCTAGCCTGGTGTCTGCTGCACCAACTTTCAGTTTAGGGAAAGAGAGGAATAAGGTTGAAACAAGCAGTGTACCCTTTCCTCTTAAAATGTCTTTGAAACATATGATATTATGAAGTCTTAAATAAAAGACAGGCAAGGAGAAACGAGGTGTCCTCATCTCAGAACTGTCTCGTTCATCTGTCAAGTATTTCTCTCCCAGCTTCCTTCCCTTTTTGAGATGGAGTCCTGCTCTGTTGTCCAGGCTGGAGTGCAGTGGCCGGATCTCGGCTCACTGCAACCTCTGCCACCCAGGTTCAAATGATTCTCATGCCTCACTTTCCTGAGTAGCTGAGATTACAAGCATGTGCCACTATGCCCGGCTAATTTTTATATTTTTAGTAGAGACGGGATTTCATTATGTTGGCCAAGCTGGTCTCAAACTCCTGACCTCAGGTAATCCTCCCACCTCAGTCTCCCAAAGTGGTGGGATTACAGGTGTGAACCACTGCACCTGGCCCCTCATTTTGAGCCACCGCACCTGGACCCTTGTTTTTTATAGCAGTATCTTTATCATGGTTAAATGGACTGTTTCCTTTTTAATTATGAGTATTTTACCTTCTTTTGTAAGAGGACTATAGTTACTCTAGGCTGTCATTGCTATAATTATATAATGTTGATGTTTATTTCTGGTAATTTTAGTAATAGTATGAATGCATGTTGTATTACTGGTGCCAAGAAATCAGCAGGACTGACGGCTTCCTGGGGACACATCCAGTGCTAATAAACAGGCATTATATATCAGTTATATACATGCCCCCTCCACTGTACACGTGCACAAAACTCAATAAGATGCAAAAACAAGTAACTAAAACAAGAAAAGTGGCAATTACAAATTTTCTCATCCCACTTCTCTTACTGTTCCCCACCAGTGGAGCTGAATGAGAGGGGTGACGAAGGATTATAATCGGCCAATTTTGAATGTGGTGGGAGATGAGGACAGGAGTGGAATGCCTATGAAATTCTGTCAAGATTTATTTCATCAACTATCAGATGATGCCTCTGGGTGTAACCTGATAAAAACCAACAAAACATGCTGGTATATTTGTTACCCTAATGACCGAGGAAAACACAGCTAGGAGAGGTGAGTGCAGGGTTTTGTTTTATTAACCAAAAAAATGAAGTTTACATCTGTTTTTAGACCTATAAGGAAGGAACAGAAAAGACCAGCAAAGAAGAAAGTGTCCCTGCCTGACAAAATTTTGCTTCAATTGTTGTTAGCGTAATCCGGGATAATGAGGAGCTTGATGGTTAAGCCCAATGGGAAAATATCTATCTTCCCATTTCAGATACTGAATTAATAACATATCACCAGAATATGCACACAACTACACACTCACAATATAGGCATCTTAAAGGTAAATTTATTAAAATGCATTTGGATTTTTAAAATTAATTTTCCCAATATATCAGCATTTTTTCCGTTAAAAAAAAAAGGATCTCAACTAAAAGTGGCTTACACTACAAAGACATGTATTATCTCCCAAGCACAAGTGTTGGGGGATAAGATGCTTCCAAGGCTGGTGCAACTACCTAATAATGTCATGAATGCCCCAGCTCCTCTCATCCTTCCACTCAGCCATCACCAGGGTTGACTTTTCATGATCACAATGGGCCTGCTATTGCTCCAGGCATCATATCCTTAATACTCTTATACAAAGGCAGAAGAAGTGGTAGTTTCTCCTCATACAGCTGTTTTTTTATCACCAGGGAATCATTGCCAGAAGTCACCAAGCTGATTACAGTCAGACCCTATTCTCACATTTCCCTTCAGGTCCCATTGTGTCAAATGCCTATTATTACTTGGCCACAGGGGCTTCAGAAAACATCGAGTATTTCATCTTTCATCCTTATAGTTGAGGATAGCTCTGCTGGCAAAGAGGAACCTTCTTGGTGGGCAATCAACTACATCCACACCAGTTTTCACAATTAAAATTTAAATTGTTATACTGAATTAAGAGCAATGAAAAGCCTTTATCCTGTAATTAAAGCAAACTTGATTCCAATTCTCAACTTTTTTCTTATCCTTTAAAGAGACACAGATGTTAAGTGTACTAACTTTTGACATATGTATGCATGCAAATTTGTGATGCCCAGATGTAGAAACTGGCTTATAAATGAGTTTCTAAAGATAGCAGAAAATACGTGGCTTGAAAGTTGACAAACTCTTCACTTTGAGTTGAATCAGAACAAAATAAAAGCTTTCTATCTCTAGAGAATATAATATCAAAATAGCAAAATTATAGCAGTTGGGGTAAATTTTAATTCTACCTACAACTTGTAGATCTATATGACTTATTTAGGCCTTAAAAGAAAAAAAATAGCAATGTCTGGATTACCACTCAAAGGACTAGGAAATGGCAGAGGTTCTGCATAGCATGAAGAGTCTATTGGTTTGCTCCTAGAAATCTATTTTGTGTTTACCACTTCCAGGAGGTCAGAGCAAAATTCCTCCCTCCAATGGTGAGAGGAATTAATGGTTATGTAGAGGACTTTTTTTTTTTTTTTTTTTTTTTGGAGATGGAGTCTCACTAGGTCACCCAGGCTGGAGTACAGTCGTGTCATCTCGCCCCACTGCAACCTCTGACTCCCAGGTTCAAGCAATTCTCTTGCCTTAGCCTCCCAAGTAGCTGGGACTACAGGTGCATGCCACCATGCCCTGTATTTTAGTAGAGATGGGGTTTCACCGTGTTGCCCAGGCTGGTCTCGAACTCCTGAGCTCAGGCAATCTGCCCACCTCAGCCTCCCAAAGTGTTAGGATTACAGGTGTGTGCTACCATGCTCAGCCACTGTTTTATTGAAAACTACTTAAACTGTTTTAAACTCCTGTTTAAAAATTTAAAGAATGAAATGAAATTTGAAGTATGCCCATTTTATTTAAAATGTGTCCAAATCACTAACAAAACCACAAGCCTGAGACTTTTTTGCAGAGGTAAAACATCCCACCACTAAACAGTCCACCACTACATTTTTCTAAGATAACCAAATTAATTCCTTATGTATTCAGTAAAGACACCTGAAAGATAAACCCAGGAATTTAAGGAAGAGCCTCTCAAATACAACTTCAATGTGGGGGGAGATGAAAGGAGAATACAGCGAGTGGAATAAACAAGAGACACTTTTTTTTTTTTAATGTCTGCTTAGAAGCACTGTTAGTATCTAATTACAAATTAAGGGGCTATTTATAAAGTATCTACTAGCTCTGTAGGGTGCTGGCTATAATGCCCATGAGCTCCTGAAACTTCACAGCCTAGTGGAGGTAAAAGATGTTAAACAAATAATCACATAAATTATGATATAATTAGTGATTATGAGATGAGTAGTATGGTGGAAAATGATAGGTTGTTATATATAGAGAAACACAGTGATTCATTTAAAAGAAGGAGGTCAAGAAAGGCCCCAGCAAGGGAAGGACCTATTAGTAGGGTGACTGAAATTCCCAGGTTACAGTTGTTGAACTGGAATGATTATAAATAACATCCCCTTTTCCTCTAAATAGTGTCCTGGTTTGGATGATAAATTATGTGATTCTCTATCTTTAAAATAAGCTTTAAAAAATTAATAGGCATTCACTAACAATAAGAGGTAACAGTGTTCCTATGTATGAATTAGTTTGTTCAAACCCTGAAGGTTCAGAGAGCCTGGTGAATTTGGAGAAATGACAGAAGACCAGCATAGATGCAAAGTAACAAAAAGAATGGTTCTAGACAGGGCTGGACAGGTCAGGATCACCTAATGTCATAATCTGGACGCTGGGCTTTGATCTTAAGAGCAAGGTGAAGTGTCAGAAGAATTGTAAGTAAAGGAGTAACATCCAATTTTTAAATCAAGAAAAAGTCTCAGGCTCTTGGTGGAGTGTGGATTAAATTAGGAAGGCAAATGTTGAATAGAGAAGCCAGTTTGGACGCTATTGCAGCAACCCAGACTACAAACGAGAGTGGCTTGAATCAGGAGGCAGAAGAGGAGAGAACAAATGAGACAGACTCAGAACATATTTTAAATCTAGATGAAACAGAACTTGGCAGACAACTGTACACTGGGATGAGGGAACAGAGCAAAGACCAGCTGAAAAGCACCTACTCAATGCATGATGTTAAGTGCAACTTGAGTTCTCAAGAAGCATCTGCTGTGTGTGTAATTACACTTCCGGCAAGCAAGTTGAGAAGGTTGTAAATTGGTACACGATTGTGCAAAAAAAGGTTAACATAGTCCAGACTGTTGTTCCTTAAAAGGACTGTTGACTAGGCTGGCCCTTGCCTGGCATCTGGGAACTTGTATTTTGTGAAGGTTTACACCATTCCTAGACCTGCTAAGCATGGCTCACTCTGCCTGAACTGTTTGTACAAACACTACAGCTTGTGTTAGACCCCTGCTTCCTTATGAAAGCCTAGAATGTTGGTATGTGCCCAGCAGAGGGTATCTACAGGATCAGCCTCCAATAAAAACCTTGGGCTTGGGCTGGGCGTGGTGGCTCACACCTGTAATCCCAGCACTTTGGGAGACCAAGGCTGGCACATCACCTGAGGTCAGGAGTTCAAGACCAGCCTGGCCAACATGGTGAAACCTGTCTTTACTAAAAATACAAAAATTAGCCAGGTGTGGTGGCACACACCTGTAATCCCAGCTACTTGGGAGGCTAAGGCAGGAGAATTGCTTGAACCTGGAAGGCAGAGGTTGCAATGAGCCAAGATCGTGCCATAGCCTGGGTGACAGAGCTAGACTCCATCTCAAAATAACAAAAAAACAAAAAACAAACCAAACAAACAAAAAAACCCTTGGGCTCAGAAGAGACACATAATACACATATAACAAAACTTCACATGTATCCTATAAATTTATACAAAAAAAAAAAAAGCCACCTTGGGACCAGGTATGGTGGCTCACACCTGTAATCCTAGCACTTTGGGAGGCCAAGGTGGGCTGATCACTTGAGGTCAGGAGTTCAAGACCAGCCTGGCCAACATGGTGAAACCCCGTCTCTACTGAAAACACAAAAATTAGGTGGGCGTGATGGCGCATGCCTGTAATACCAGCTACTTGAGAGGCTGAGGCACAAGAATCACTTGAACCCAGGAGACACAGGTTGCAGTGAGCTGAGATCGCACCACTGCATTCCAGCCTGGGAGACCGAGGGAGGTTTTTGTCTCCCGGGAAAAAAAAAAAAAGAAAATAAAAGCCATCTTCAGTTCTGAGTCGCTAAGGAGCCTCCCTAGCTGGGATCATCTGCATGTGTTGTCTTAGCTTGCTGCTGGGGGAACGAGGTGCGCCCGGTGTGACTCTACTGGAAGAGGACCCTTGACTGCTTGTGCCTGCTTTCCCCGACTCAGCCCCATGAGCCTTTTCCCTTTGCTGATTTTGCTGTGTAACCTTTCGTTGTAATGCATCATAGCCATTGAATACAACCATACGCTGAGTCCTATGAGTGCTCCTGGTGACTCATCAACCCTGAGAGTAGTTACGGGGACCCCTGACACAATGATCAAATTCCTAAATGTAGATTTCAGAGCTAAAATAGAGAGGAGGTTAAACAAAAGGGGCTGAGCAATGTGAGATAAATACCTCAGGGTTATGCCTTGAGGGGCTAGTTAGTCTAATACTTACTAAATTATTAATATTAAATGCTCTACAAATTGGTATTCCCATGGCTCAAGCTCTGGGGCTTTTTCTTCTTAATCCCAGAGAGATAAAGTCACCATATCAGGAAAAGTCATTGCTGATAAAAGTATTTTCCTGACAGTCAGGTCAAATTTCCTGTGTGCCAGTGCCCCAGCTCTATCCTGTGCTGAAGAATCGAGTTTGAATCCTGCAGCTATGGGCCACACAAGACATGTGAGGACTGTGAGAACGGGAGATTGAGACCTGCTGACATCTGAGGAAAATAAAGTCAGAGGCTGAGGAAGTGCCTGCAGATTTTTGTGCTGAATGAAAGGTGCTTTCTTGTCTTGTGAAAATCTAGTGTTAGCTGTTGTCTATGTATTCTGGATGGAAATGAGCCAGCACTAAACACAGAGAAGTGAGTTCTGAGCAGTTTAGAGTGGTGGTGTATGTTGATTAATCATGACCCCTCCAGCTTTCAAATGATTTACTCTCTACTACTAAATCTAAAAGTAAGTTCAGAGAAATTCTTAACTAAAAAAAGACAACTTGAGCAATATAGACAAAAGAAAATCCAAATGTTAGGCTAATTTTAACACTGACTCCACCCCACTATCTCCTGTTTTCTTTTCTTTTTGATATGGAAAATGTTGCTCAAATGGTGTTCTCTTTAACCCTATCAGATTTGCAGGTAGCTTTTTTGGTTAAGTCTTTTCTGATAGCCACATCTTCAGGGAAAAGCAGTACTTATCTTCATTTTGATGATCAACTAGCGTTATAAACTGTCCAAATAGTCAAGTTATAGTGCTAGATATTAGCAGAAAGTAGTAATAATAGAAACAGCCCTTGTTCTTTAAGATGTGAACATTGGAAAATAATACTGCTTTGAATAAAAGGTCTTTCTTCCAACCTGAAGTTCCCAAAGCACTTAACACACATTATCCATGTAATTTCCCACGAGTTCTATGCAGAAGAATAGCCCTATGCTTCTTATTTTTGCAAAAGTAACTAGGCAAAGCACATTACAGGAAAAACAAACAGCCAAAGAAAGCTGAGGGAACCTGAGGTCTTCCCATTGCTCCATCCATCTCTTTATCCAACAAATGTATTAGGTGTCAAGCACTGGGCACTCTGCTTGTTTCTGGGATACAAAAAGGGTATGAAACACTATTTCCATTACCCTTTATCTAAAGGTTGTCCCTTGTGCCTTTCTCACTACTAACACGACCTGAAAATTATAATGTCAAGATTTCTTGCAATAAGAGAAATCATACTTCTACATATTTACATAGAAACTCTTCTCCTTTTTCCTTAAGCTTCCTGCTATTGAGATGACATTGAAGCTGGAATTCGGTTCCTCCCTTTTTGGTCGTATCTCATTGTAGTTTTTGCTTTCATATTTGCTTTAAACAGCTTTACTGAGGTCGATTTTATATACCATAAATTCACCAGGCTTCCTAATTTTTTTTTTTTTTACAAAATGAAAATAAATGCTCATCATAAATTTCAAATTATCTAGATGCAGGTAAAGTAGGAAGCAAAAGCCCCAAGAATATGTCAATCCTAGCATTATTTTTAAAAATATATCTTTCCACATTCTTCTCACTATAAATATGGACATGGTTTTTTGAATATTATTTAAAATGAAATACATACACACAGAAGAGTAAATCATTAGTGTACAACTTTTTTGTATTTTCACAACATTGTAACTTGTTTCCAGATCAAGAAACATGAGAAATATACCACAAATAGAATTTTACTGTTCTGCAACTTCCCATGTCAGTATATATTCATTGACATTGCATCGCTTTCATAAATTATTTGCTTAATAAGCATTTAGGTTATTTCTAATTTTTCATCACATAAAGAATTATATGACAAACATCTTTGTACATATCGTTTTCTTCTGCTTTTGAAGAACTACCCCTAAGACACAAACATGATTGGTTTCATAGGAAAGGTTAAGTGGTTTGCCTGAAATACACGTCATGTAAACTCCTAGGGTCAAGAAGAGAAAAAAAAGGAAAAAGATAAACCAAAACGAGTGAGAGAGAGAAAAAGGAGAAAGAGGAAGAAGGATGAAGGAGAAGGAGAAGAAAGGGAAGAAGAGAAAAAAGAAGATGAAAGCAAAAAAAGTCCTTTACTAGGAATATAATTATTTCTTTTTTCTTTCAGCCACACAAAAGTGTAAAACTAAAATGATCTTTAAGATCTACAGTGAGTTCTTCCAATTTCCCTTTCCTTAAAACAGGCCTTCACATAGGAGCCACATATCTTCTATGGCTGGAAGACCTTATGGTAATGAAAAAGGGAGGAGGGAGTTTCCTCTGAATCACAGGTGCTTTTCATTTTCAATACCTAAAGTAGGACACTCCAATCTATGCTTGTCACTGGTGCTTTTCAAATGAGGTGACAACTGTCTTGCTGACTTCTATACTTTGGTGAGTACTATCTACAGTGTGTCTGAGAGCAGGGTGGATTCCTAATCCACATAAAGCATTACTGAGAATGATCTACATGACAGTGAGATATAAAAACTCAAATACAAGTCATTTCTCACCAAAGATAATTTGAAATAGTATTGTGACAAGTGAAAAGGGAGACATTAAAATTCCAGAGGATAAAAAGTAGGGCCGGGCGCGGTGGCTCATGCCTGTAATCCCAGCACTTTGGGAGGCCGAGGCGGGCGGATCACGAGGTCAGGAGATCGAGACCATCCTGGCTAACACGGTGAAACCCCGTCTCTACTAAAAATACAAAAAATTAGCCGGGCGAGGTGGCGGGCGCCTGTAGTCCCAGCTACTCGGGAGGCTGAGGCAGGAGAATGGCATGAACCCCAGGGGGCGGAGCCTGCAGTGAGCCGAGATTGCGCCACTGCACTCCAGCCTGGGCGACAGCGAGACTCCGTCTCAAAAAAAAAAAAAAAAAAAAAAAAAAAGTAGGAATAGGTATTTAGATATTTAGTTACATTTGCATGATTATCTAAAGTAGGTTTCCCAGGTCCTCATGGGACTAACTAGCATATGATGAAAAGAATAGTGGTTTCCTAAAATCACCCCAGAAAAGATTTTTTAAAAAGAACAAAATATATGAATGTTATCAAATAGATCCTATTGAGAGCCAACCTTATTCCAAGAAGAAATGCTACAATTCTTGCTTTTTATGAATATAAATAAATGCTAAGTAATAAATACCAAAGAATTATCTATACCATGAGATAGCCATTCTAGTGGCCAAAGGCTGCAATGAACAAGGTTCTTCCAATTTCTGTGAAATCCATCTTCCATATGATAGGCCAAATGACACCATCTTCCACCCCTTTACCCCCACCAAGTTGTCTTTATCCTAATCCCTAGAACCTGTGAGTATTACTTTATATGGCAAAAGGGACTTTGCCGATGTGACTTTGTAATGGGTAGAGTATCTTAGATTACTAGGTGTGCCAATATAATCACAAGGTTCCTTAAACATGAAAGACAGAGGTGTAACTTTGCGAAGAATGAATAGAGAGACACAATTTTATTGGCTTTAAAGATAGAGGGAGGGGCCAGGCATGGTGGATCAGGCCAGTAATCCCAGCGCTTTTGAAAGGCAAGGTGGGAGGCTAACTTGAGGCCAGGAGTTTGAGACCAGCCTGGACAACACAATACAATCTTGTCTCTACAAAAGGATAAACATTTTACAATTGGCTGGGTGTGATGGCAACCTCCCATAGTCCCAGCCACTGGAGAGGCCGAGGTGGGAGGGTCAGTTGCCTAGGGCCCAGGAATTTGAGGCTGCTGTGTGCTAAGGATGGTGCCACTGCATTCCAGCCTGGGTGACAGAGATACTGACTCAAACGAAAAGTGGAGGGAGAGATCTACTAGTCAAGGAACATGGGCAACCTCTAAAAGCTGAGAAATCCAAGGAAATAAATTCTCCCCTAGAGAACCTTTGGAAAGAAATGTAGCCCTACAGACAACTTGAATTTAGAGTAGTGAAATCCATTTCAGACTTCTTACCCACAGAACTCTAAAAGAAATCTGTGTTATTAAGTCTTAAGTTTGTGGTAATTTGTTACAGCAACAATAGGACACATACCATTTCTCCATCAAGATTGAGAATTGAGTCCACTATAGTCTTCAGTCCCTGTGCTAAAGAACACGAGACTAAGCAAAAAGAAAATGTTTGTAAACCAAGTACAATAGGTTACTTATCAGCAAGATTAATGGCTTCCTCACCAATATTCACATCCACTCATCTCACTTTGCCCACCAGACCAAAGTTTTTATGCCAAGAACTGCCAGTTCTAATCATCCTCACTTTGCGAGACTTGCCCCCAAATCACTCACCCCAGGCTTTTTAAATTATAAATACGCTTCCTATTTTCCTCTTTTTGAGAGGCTATGAAAACTCAAGTTGGGATTCTCCTCTACTACGTAAGTCTAATAAACTTAGCTTTGCTTGACCAATAGTTTTTCCTATTTAGCGTGTTGGTCACACACAACGTGGGGCATTTCTTCCACTGGTATAACTCAAAATGTCTTCACACAGCTGTGAAGACTGGGGGCATGGACCCAGAATAGACTACTACTATGTTGAAGAGAAGAAATATAAAAACAGAGTTATAGAAATAAAAATATACATTAATTGAATACCCTTTTGTTTCCCATTTTTCTTAATTAGACACTTAAATCTTGCATGTATGTTTGTGATGCTGGGATAAGACTAACTCCAAAAAATAATTTGCTTGGCTTCTGCTGCACTAACTGAAGAATTTCAATCTGGAGCTGAGAAATGATGATGGAGAAGAAGGAATCCCAGGAATCTTTTTTGGGAAAGTACACGAGGTGGCTTCTTCCGCACTTTACAACCTTGTATTTCATAACATTAAGGTTGAACAAATATGTTGCTTCAGCAGAACCAGGTCTAGTTTCTTTGCAAACGTTTTTGTCAAGACTGTTCCTCCTATGCCTACAGCATATAACATTCTTTATGCATCTCTCCCAGATTTTACTCCCTCCTGTACTTCCTGGTTAGCAGTCACAGATGAAAGTACAGAAGCTCAACCCAATACAAGCCCCAATGGCATACAAAACAAGAAAGCTCCCAGTGTGCCTTAAAGTACTTGGACATTGCCCACTAAAAACCAACTGCTTTTCTGCATGTGGAATTTAGATTTTGTTCCTATTTTTATTGTTTTTAACTCAGAACAATAGGGAGAATACATGGTACACTCTTTTAACAGCTCAGAAGACAATGAAGAAGAGTTATAATCCATTATATCCAAATTACATGTCAGTTGGAACTGGGTTTTCACTAGTGAACATGAACATTTAATCCATAAAGAGAAACTATTGAGATATTTGAAAATGAAATATATGCATTGGTAAATTTAGAGAGACTTAGCTAGGATTAATGAAACGCCAGAGTGTTACCAACAAATAAGAAAAGTATTTCTTTTGGTTGTGTTTACTTAACACAAAGATCAATTTTACTTTTTTGGAAACACGTTTTTACAATATTTTCTTTCAATTCTGTTCCTTAAAGACTTTGCTTCTCTTCTGGAAGTTTTCTCCATAATATTTTTTTTTTCTGCTATTGTAACCAATGCTGAGAACACACCCTTAAAAGAATCTTAGAAAAAAATGAGCATTGACATCATTTGTGTAATACTAATAACAATAATCAGGATGACAACTATTATTTATTGATAACCTACTATATATCCAGAGCCTATTTTAAGTTAACTCTCGATATAGTTTGGATATTTACCCCATCCAAATCTCATATTCAAACGTAATCCCCAATGCTGGAGGTGGGGCCTGGTGGAAGGTGATTGGATTATGGGGCTGGTTTTCTCACCATCCCTCTTGGTATTGTCCTCCTGATAGTGAGTGAGGTCTCATGAGATCTGGTCATTTAAGTCTGTAGCACCTCCTCCTTCCTTGCTTCTCCTCTGGCCATGTGACATGCCTGCTCCCCCTTTGCCTTCTGCCATGACTGGAAGTTTCCCGAGGCCTCCCCAGAAGCTGAGCTGATGCCAGCATCAGGTTTCCTGTACACCATGCAGAACCAAGAGCGAATTAAAGCTCTTTTCTTTATGAATTACTCTGTCTCAGGTATTTCTTTATAGCAATGCAAGAATGGACTAATACAATTCTCTTAACAGGTGGGATTAACAGGTGGATATCTTCTGTTGCCTATTCCGTTAATAGGAAATGATGATTATGACTATGTAGATTAACTCTATCTGGAAAGTCACACACATATTCTTTCTCAATCCCTTTAACTTCCCATTGCTTGTACATATTGCCCCACGAGACTTTTTTTTTTTTTTTTTTTTAAATCAGCCAGAACATTAACTTCCAGAATTCCATTAAGGAGGTAAACTATGGTTGCAAAATCCTTTCTATACCGCAAAGTAGTTTTCAGCCTTGGTATTATATATTTAACCATGCAAAGAATGAAAGGGCAAGTTATTTAGCAAGTCATAATGTTCTTTCTTGTTTTTTATAAAAGAGGCAGGGGAAAGATGTGGGGAGATCTAGGTTCAACAGGGGGCATCAGGATTTTCATCATTACAGTCATGTTATGGTATTGTTTTCCAAACAAAAGACGAATGATAATCTAGTTCTCTGTTACTCAAAGTGTGGTCCAAAAGCCTGCAGCAGCATCTGCATTACCTTGAACTTCAAAGAAATGCAGAGCCCCAAGCCCTACCCAGATTTTAACAAGGGGCTCAGGTGATTTGCACACACATTAAAATATGAGTGCAATGACCTAGTTTCTTTTCTTATAGTTTTAGAGGGCCACAAATAACAGAAATCAAGAATAATGCAGGATTTCTCAATCCTAGATGTCCATTAGACATCAGAGCAGAATACAAGTCTCCAGAAATGGACCCCAAGGTTTTGAATGTTTTAAAATTCCACAAGTGGTTGTGATACACATGTAGTGTAGAAAACCACAGGAAAAAGTGTGAAGAATCTTGCTTCCATTCAGATAAGAAATAACTATATACACAAACCCTAAATGATTCCAAGTTCACTTGTCAATTCTGAAATTAGTGAAAGAAACAGAAACAATGACAATGAACACCGTCAATGAACATTGAAAAAAATGCCTTACTTATTTTCACTAGGAAACCTTAGGCTTTCAACATTAGAGCTCTATTTTTTCATCCCTAAAAGTTAACTCCCTTATCAATGCCAAAATTTCACCTCAAAAGACAGTTTATTCAATGCATTCTGGAACAAATCAGTCCTTCTTAATTCAATAATCAGACAAATAAGCCAAAGATAACAACTATTTAGGAAAATGACATGTAAGAATCTTGGCAACATAGACTATCTTTCATCATCTTTATAGCCACAACACTGCATGGAGATTTTACACAGAAGTTATGTTTGAATTAAGCTGAATTGGCTGAAAATATGCCTATATATGAATATATGCCCTCCAAAAATCTACAACCATACTATGTACTTGCCCGTGATCTGTTTGACCATATAACCCTTTTATTTGGATTACTGTTGCAAAATGGTAGAACTTTTTCATCTAAACCTTTATATCTATAAAAATAAGGAAACACACTGCCTTGATAACTACATGTTGAACATGCTCCAAGTATGGTGGACTGGAGATTCAGTGCTAGGCAACTTAGGGAAAAGGGGCCATTGGTTAAGAGACTTCCTTTTTTGTTTTTTTGGGTTTTTTTCGAGATGGGGTTTCACTCGTCACCCAGGCTGGAGTTGCAACAGTGCGATCTTGGCTCATTGTAACCTCCACCTCCCAGGTTCAAGCGATTCTCCAGCCTCAGCCTCCCGAGTAGCTGGGATTACAGGTGCCTGCCACCATGCCTGGCTAATTTTTGTATTTTTAGTAGAGACGGGGTTTACCACATTGGTCTTGAACTCCTGACCTCAAGTGATCCACCCACCTCGGCCTCCCAAAGTGCTGGGATTACAGGCTTGAGCCACCGCACCCCACCAAGACTTCCTTCTTAATAAAAATCTGATTCCTGAGCAGGTCTTAAGGAAATTCCTCCCCAGTACTATTTCTTATCCCATTCTTGGCCTTTTCCCAACACTTGAGTGTCCTGCTCTTTGGGAAACCTGGTATTATTTTTCTTCTTTATTACTTAGCCGATCAATTTTCCCTTTCAGAAAAGAAGCAGATAGTATTCATTTACACACCACTATAATACTAAATAAATAGACTCTTCCCAAATGATTTTTATTGCTAATCATAATTACAATAATAGCTAATTCTTCTTGCATACTTACTGGATCCCAGGCACTGTCTCTCTAAATACCTGTACTCCTAAATCCTACTGAGATGGATGATATGAAGATCATGACACCCTCCTAATCCTACACATGAACTTAAAGACAAAGACGTTAAGGAACTTGTTCAACGTTGCACAGCCATCAAGTGGCCTAGCTGAGCGTCAAATACGGGTAGTCTGCTCAAGTATTTCCATTCTGAATCTCAACTCTGTATGTCTCTGCTATCTCTTATTTACTGAAATTATTAAATATTAAAGAAGGTTCCAGCACTAGCAAAAGAGAAGCATTTTGAGCAAGTGAAGAAAGCACTTTGGAGACAAAGGAGGGAAGTTTATCTATGAAAACTGCTTAAGCCAGGGGTTCTCATACTTGGGAATGCATCAGATGGACGCAGAGGGCCTGAGAATCTGCGTTTCTCTTTTTTTTTTTTTGAGATGGAGTCTCGCTGTGTCGCCCAGGCTGGAGTGCAGTGGCGCGATCTCTACTCACTACAAACTCCGCCTCCCGGGTTCACGCCATTCTCCTGCCTCCGCCTCCCGAGGAGCTGGGACTACAGGCACACAGCACCACGCCCAGCTAATTTTTGTTGTATTTTTTAGTAGAGACAGGGTTTCACCATGTTAGCCAGGATGATCTCGATCTCCTGACCTCGTGATCTGCCCCCCTCGGCCTCCCAAAGTGCTGGGATTACAGGTGTGAGCCACTGCGTCCGGCCTGAGAATCTGCATTTCTAACAAGCACCTAGGTGATGCTGATGCTGCCACTACAGCAGGGGGGGAATTCCTTCTCACCATCCATCATTTGCAAACTGCAAAAATCACATTCCATTATTCACGAACATAAGTCACTTCTCATTTCCAATCTTTAACTCCCCCTCATCACCACCTTCAGAAAAAATTCAGAGTGAAAAATAAAAAATAAAAAATAAAAAAAGCAAAGTAAGCCCTATCTATAGCATTTTCTACCACAGCTTTCAAAGGAAAGGTAAGCTCAAATTGTCCCTTTCCCACAGTCACAGATTTAGACATTTCCTATGTTTAAATTTAATGTGGAAAGCCTCCCGCGTGCCACTTTTGATAACAAATAACTCAAGATGCTCTTCAATGCCATTTCTTCATTTATATTTTCTTTACTGCTCAAACAACATAAGTGGGGGAACCCAAACAATTTTTCATAGGTCAGAGATTCCGTGCACCCAGTGCAGGCAGAGTTTGGTTAACAATACAGCAACAGCTCTTCTAAAATTACAAGCTAGACGTTTTTTTTCCCTCCTCAGGCTTTTAGTCGATTTCCCTTTCACAGCACTGAGCCTCTCTTTAGTAAAAAACAATTAACAGAAGAAATCACTGAATCTTCCAGTTAAAAAAACAATAAGGTACTTTTAGAAAGTCAACCGATTGATTTGCAGGCTCTCAGGGCTGAGTGATTTTCCTATTTAAATTGAGTGGGGTGTGTACATGTCTATAGAAAGAAATACCATGTTTCTCTATTTGCTAACAATTTTAATAATTCCTTGTTGGAAAGTTCATTTTTAAATTGGAGCGAATGATGCTCTGATAGGGTTTGGTTTAAGTGGCTTAAAAAAATCAGTGACAGGAGACTTTATGAATACTTCTTACTCCTAGAAATTTTTACTGAAAAGAGAGAAACTTGGGAGAAAGATGTAAAAATAAAAAATAAAAGATTAAATTAAGCATGAATGTTGGCGTTTCAAATGCAGTATGGTTTCCTTTAAATTTTAAGTATGAACAACAATTATTTCATGCTATGGACACACCTGAGATGTAGATTAAGAAGGGAAATCAATTATAGATAGTATGGAATCGTATCTAGATGTGAAAGTGAAGCAATCTACTACAACAAAATAGAATTTTGTTAGCTGGATATGGTTTAAGATGTCAGAAATTATTGTGAACCATGAAAAACAATTTCAACTAGAAAGAAGACAATCACTCATCTCTTTATTAACTAAATTTCTGCATAAATCTGAAGAAAGTGCCTACTGTTGTCTGTTAAAAAGAGGTAGGTAGGCCGGGCGTGGGGGTTCACGCCTGTAATCCCAGCACTGTGGGAGGCCGAGGCAGGTGGATCACGAGGTCAGGAGATCGAGACCATCCTGGCTAACACGGTGAAACCCCGTCTCCATTAAAAATACAAAAAATTCTCCAGGCGTGGTGGCGGGTGCCTGTAGTCCCAGCTATTCCGGAGGCTGAGGCAAGAGAATGGCGTGAGTCCGGGAGGTGGAGCTTGCAGTGAGCGGAGATTGCACCACTGCACTCCAGCCTGGGCGACAGAGCGAGACTCTGTCACAAAAAAAAAAAAAAAAAAAAAGAGGTAGGTAGAGGGATGTGAAGACAAAGCAACAGGTGTGACCCTATCTAATACAGTAACCATCCCCATTATGAGATTGGTGGCATGTAGGATTCAGATAGCAGAAGAATCTTAACTAGGTGCTACCAGAGTTTGTGTGCGGAATGGCAGCTTTAACAGGTCCAAAGAAATTCAGCCCTAGGGAAGATCAATACATTATCACTCACATCATTAAGAAGTGGACTGGACAAAGCACTAGAGAATCAAGCATAAGGAGTAATCCCCATGCTGCCAGAGAGTAAAGGGATGGGTGAGATCATCAGATGAAACAGACTTTTCCCACCCTAATTTCTATGATTTCATAGCACTAGCAAAGCCAAGAAAACTTCACTAAGGAAAGAGTGAGGTTACATGGCGGCCTGCCAAGGTCTCCTGTGACTTCACACTGGCATTCTCAAAATAGCAAGTGGGTATAATTTCAACACACGGTATGAAGGACCTAGACCTGATGTTCCCCCACCTCAACTTTAGTGTCTCTCCCAGAGAGCTCCCATGTAACTGACTCCCCTTCTATGCAGATTCCAAAGTTTAGTCCCACAACTTCTGGGGTGCCTAGACACTCCCACATTGCTGCCAGACTTCTGTCAACTCACAGATGTAAAAGTGTAAACCTTTAGTCATAAAGAAGACCAGAGATACACTTATGGCAGGTAGATCAACCGCCCTTCTCTAGGCTTGTCAAGTTAAAATATGAGAAAGAAATACACGGAAATTTTTACCTGCTAATTAATCGGCACAAGCTATAAATGTGGGTCACTGGCTCAGCTCTTTCTTTTCTTTGTCCCACTTTGGGTTTCTGCAATTGCCACCATGTGTAACTTTGATCAAGGGTTCTACATTTCATTAGGAGGCCATAAGGGTTTAGGGGAATGAACAGTGAAGTTCCACAGCATAAACAAGCATTAACAACAGAAGGCTCTTTTACAAGGTTGGCTCTGTCAGCAAAGACTTCAAAGACACAAACCCCTTCCAATTTAAAGGGGGCAGGAGAGGAGAGATACTGCAACACTGGACCAGACGTGTTAGAATGCATACATGTGAGTGCACCCATATTTATAGTACGTACCATGTGTCAAATCACATACACATTGAGCCCCTAGGTGCACAGCCTGTTCTAAATACCGTGGGAAACAGAGTTAATTTTATAAATACACATATAAGACCATATTATTTTAAATGTTAGTTTTTTTTTGTTTTTTTTTTTTGAAATGGAGTCTTGCTCTGTCACCCAGGCTGGAGTGTAGTGGCACGATCTCGGCTTACTGCAACTCCGCCTCACAGGTTCACACCAGCCATTCTCCTGCCTCAGCCTCCCCAGCAGCTGGGACTACAGGTGCCCGCCACCATGCCTGGCTAATTTTTTTGTATTTTTAGTACAGACAGGGTTTCACCATGTTAGCCAGGATGGTCTCGATCTCCTGACCTTGTGATCTACCCACCTGGGCCCCCAAAGTGCTGGGATGACAGGCGTGAGCCACCGCGCCCAGCCTCTTATTTTTATTTTTTCAGTAGAGACAGGGTCTTGTTATGTCACCCAGGCTGGTCCCAAATTCCGGGGCTGAAGCAATTCTCCTGCTTCCTCCTCCCAAAGCCCTGGGATTACAGGTGTGAGTCTCCACACCAGGCCTTAAATGTTGATGTTTTACCACCATGACACACATGAACTTAGCTGCATGTTAAAAATTAGGATATTTCAACAATAAAACAAGGTCATACACTGGAAACTAAGCTTTGGTCTGCAATTAATTGTAAAGCCCACCTGTTCTGCTTCATTTGCTACCACTTCTTCCTGTGGTCAACCACAGTCCACACTCACTCGGCCACTATGTGTTTGCCTATGCTCTCTTGCCTACCTTAGAGGCTCTTTATCTGTGTATTTATTCATTGGGCCCCTGTTGAAAGATCGTTTTACCTGGAAACCTCTAAGATAATAGCAGTCAGTTTTTCCTCTATAGGCTCAAAGGAATGGGTATACAATTATCTAATTCTAATAACACTTTTCGCATTGCCTAGTCATCTTCATTCCTTCCACGTGACTATGGCTTCTCAAGGGCATGATCTAATTACTATATTACGTATAGAGATTTCCTCTTGATGAGGATTTTTTTTATACTAGAATATTTGTCTGTGATGGGTATGGAGGAAATGGCAGAGTAATGAAAGCAACACTGGCCCTGAAATAAAAAGGCATGAGTTCTACCCTGAGCTCAGGTTTTACCAATGGTAAGCTGCTGGACAAACTATTTAATGTCATTGTGATGAAGTTTCCTTGTCTATAAAATCAGGGCGATAGTAAATTACCCTCTTATTGAATTACTTTAATGTGATCATTGATATCAAAGTGTTCTTTAAACTGTAAAGCGCTGTCAAACCATCACTAAATGCACTTCCTTTTCTTGTACTTTGCACTAGGGAGTATTTTAAGCAAGGTTTAATCCAACATCTGAAGTTTATTGAGCCTGTGCTGCCTTATGCCGCAGAATTCCTGGGACTTGCGTGAAAAGTAGACGACGACAGCGTTAAGAAAATGTAGGTAATATCCATAAACTAGAGAAGTAATTATGACCAAGGATGTAAAAGTGAAACATACACTTTCACAGAAACATCAAAGCCATGGTCACCGTCCAGGGGCATGCAGAATCTCACCAGCATTCTGGAATCCAAGCAGTGTGTAAGCTGGCGAGTGTTAATGCCCTTCTTGAGATATGACAGCAGGAGCCAAGTCCAGACAGAGTCACTATAAATCTACAAAGCAAAAACCTCCTTTGCAATTCTTATTCATCTTTTGGAATTTATTACCAATGAAATATTAAAGCCCCATCTCAAGACAACACAAAAGATAAAGTACTTTAGCCAGTAAACTTTAAGGTGAATGAAAAACTGTACTTTTATAAATAATACATCTTTAAAATCCCAAACCAGCAAAAGAAAGCGCTAAATTTTTTAAAATAAAAAAATAAGGGGCATCTCTGTTCACAGATGTGGAAGTTAAAGACCATGAACAAGTTCAGTTTTAGAAAAAATGACTTGAGGCAATTCTGAAAGTCTCTCCAATGTTCTTTTCTTCTTTGGCTAAGGACATCACAGACACCTAAAGCAGAATAAGAAATACAGTTGTCTGGCCTGAGTTACATATCAAAAAATGTCATCAACCGCTGTAGGGGAAAACACAGAACCTCAAACTCCAGCCGTCTAGATGCCTTTCAATTCACATTGACAGATTTTATCTTAGTCTGTGCAGAACTGTGAACTCCTCAAGGTTATTCCAGACTGCTTTGTGCTGGGTCTACTGTGTTAGGATTTTCAGGCACTTGTTACTTAAAAATGTATCTGTGCTGAAACAATCCATAATTACAAAGTTATTTTTAAATCCCAAAAGGCAAATGTGTTCTTTAAAAATGCTGCAATGCTCACTTTTGAAATCACATCCAACTTTCAAACAGGTTCTCCTGGCAGTGTTTCTGTACTACATCTTCTCACTTTTTAAGTTAATGAAGATTTAATATGAAATGAAATCACTGGCACAAAACAAAAGCAACAGAAATCTGTGACAAGAAATCATGAAAAGGAGAGGAGGCACCGGCTCTGCTAAGTCAAGCCTACGCAGGTGTGCAAAACACAGTGTGACTATATGCTTTGTGATAAAGACTTTATGCTTAGAATCAAAGGAGCAAAACTTCAATATTTCATGTTAGCACAGTGGCTTGGCAGTCTAAAAATTTAATAAGTGCTATCTAAACTAATGGCAGTGCTTCAGACTAGGGAAAAAAAACATGCACGAGATTAAGCATTCTAATGACACTAATGAAACTTAAAAGAATATAGATCATCTTCTCTTGAATTAAATGACTCACTCTAAATAAGAATAGTTAAGACACATAATCACGGCCCACAGCTGAGTCTGCAGAAGATTCTGCTGCAGAGCTGATGATTATGTCAGGCTCTCAGGAAAGCAGAATCACTGAGTAAGGGACTTGTGTGAGGCAGTAGCTGGAAGGGATCTGTTAACACAGCCAGTGTAGCCGGCCCAACTCCTCTCCAGTGTGAGAGTCTATGGTTATAAATCACCTAGGATTCAGGGCCCTGGAAGAGTTAGAGGTAAAAAGAACAAGATAAATTATTTGGACTCTAAAGGCAAAATTTAAGTGTCATTTGCTCCATAAAATCTTTCACTATCATCCCAGTCGACCTACACAGATCTCATTCAAATTCCTAGACGTTTTCTCTTCCATTCATTTGGAACATTTAGGAAGCTGATTTTTAATGCTGGCTATCATACCAATTTGACTGCCTTATATATTTAACTAGATCAATAATTCTTCCTGGAAGAATATTTTTCACACACACACACACACATTCACTCACTTACTCTCTCTCTCTTTCTCTCTCTCCCTCCCTCCCTCCCTGCTTCATTTGTAGCCATCCACAGAAGTTAAAACAATACCGTTCCCTTTTACTCATTATTCAGTGATTAGAAGGTAATACTTAGAGCCTTAAGCAAGAGGTTGGCAAGCATGATCCTGGCAGGTGTGACGTCAAATAAATTACTTTGTCTTCAAGGCTTCATTTCCCTTAAAGTGGACATAAAAAATGCTATAGGTTTAAGAATGATGATTCCAATGCGTACATAGTGATCAGTTTCTGCGCAATATATACAGATTGACATATTGCTTTGTCAATGCATGTTATTCCTAATTGTGTAACATCCAGAATCACCCTCTATCATCTAAATTCTAATTTTACTGCTTGAAGAGACCAGGTTCAAATAAGCTTTGCTTTCGACTTTCTAATCTAGAGGCCAGAATCCTAACAGCATGAAATTATAATAAAAAGAATAATCAATATTAATAAAAATCATATCCTAAATGGAATCTCTTGGAAAAAGATTTCAGCATTTCCCTAAATAAAACATTATGCCTTAGAGAGCACATCATTCTTTCAAACATGAGGAAAAGTTTACGTGTGTCATAATGTTTATATATGTCTGTTTACATGTGCACACTATGTACTGAATGCTGCATGCCCCCACCCCACCAAGTTCATATATTAAGGCTCTAACCTCCAATATGATGGTATTAGCAGACAAGGTATTTGGGAAATAATTAGGTTTAAATGCAGAGAGTGGGGTCCTCATAGTGGGACTAGGACCTTACGTGAAGAGACCAGAGGTCTCGGTCTCTCTCACTCTCTCTCTCTCTCTCCCTCTCTCTCTCTCTCTCTCTCTCCCTCTCGGTCTCTGTCTCTCCGTCTTGGTCTCTGTCTCTCCCTCTCGGTCTCTGTCTGTCTCTCTCTCTCGGTGTCTCTCTCTCTCTCTCTCTCTCCCCGACCCCCCCCCCACCCCCAATTATAGGTTAAGAGTTTTCTACAAGCCAAGAGAGGAGATCTCAGAATAAAACCTAGCTTGCTGGGGCCTTTATCATGGGTGTCCCAGCCTGAAGAACTGTGGGAGATAAATTTCTGTTGTTTAAGCCACCTAGTCTACAGTACTTCATTATGGAAGCAGGAGCTGCCTAAGACGATATATAAAAATGTATGTGAGTATATAATATAAATGTACAAAACATTAGCAGCTTTATATATCAAAACATACCTTGTTTAGGCTACTAGGAAAGGCAAAGCTAGACTTTATGATGTCTCAGTACTCCCTTTGTCTCTCCTCATACACACCTTTGTGTAACTATGAACCTTAATTTTGGCTTTCCCCTCATTAAGTCACAGGTTTTCCTAACCTGGGTTCTCAGGTCGATATTCTAGTGCCACAGAGAGTCCAGGGAGACTTAAAGATAGGGATAGGTCCATAGGAACACAGAGATGCACCGGTGGAATTTAGTGCAGGACGGTCCAGGCAAGTCAGAGAAAGCTGCAGGGAATGAGCCTGCAGTTGTTCTAGAAAAGAGTCACACAGACGTAAGATAATGGAAGAAAGGGAACAGACAACAGCATCTCTAGATATGGTAGAATCATGTGGCTCGGTCACTCAGTCTCTTAGGGTAGAAAGAGAAGAGTGAAGATGATGTTCAGATCTCCAACTTGCGGGGCTCAGGAGCAGCTGCTGTGGCAACTTAGTAAACAAGGAAGGGAAAGGTGATGGTGGACTGTTTCATCAGGATGGTGGGAATTGGGCTAAAATGTAACTAAGCAACATGCACAGTGTCCTAGAAGACTGAAGAGAAAGTCAGGGGTCCTCACTGGGTAGCTGTGTGACTATAAGTTACTAGGCTTTGGTGATCTCCTGTCAAAGGAGCAGGTGGAAGTAGAGGATTTTTATTCATTCCTCAGCTCAAGAGACCACCACTCTAATGTTAGCAGTCCTATTTCCCCAGTCAGCAATGGAGGAAATCCAAAGAATTATCTATTCTTCTCAACACAGGAGGTAGCTGTAAATATAAGGCCAGATAATTTGCTTCTATCCTTTCTAGGGTTTTGTCAATCATCAAGGACACCTGCTGAATCACATCCACTCCTGCACCTGACAAAACCAGAGACACTGCCTTTCGCTTTTTAGTGTAAGGTGCAGATGAAACACAGTGAGAAGGCAATTTGACTGAGGCTACTACAGGAGTTCCCCAGCCCACCATTCCCATTCTAGACCACACCTGTTCCATTCCTCATCCATCCTGCACCCTGTTAGGCCACAGGACCTTTACAATTCAGGTGTATAACAGAAATGCTCAAAATTTTCATCTCTCTTTAGAGCTTCCACTGGCAAATATAGTAAAATGAGTTCTAAAACTAATGGATTGATGGTGTAGGCACCATGTCTGTGTGGCCACATGGCTTCCAAAAGGGAAGAGAAACAGATTCCAAGCCAAGATCAGGCAGGTGCAGCCAAAAGTATGAATGCTGGATGATTCACACCTCTGGCAGGAGACATCAAATGTAGCAAACCCACAGGGTAGGGCAGGGTCTCAAATATGGGGCAAACTGAAGGGGGTGAGCCTCTTGACATCAACCTAGGCTTGCAGTCTTGCAAAAATGCTTGAAGCACCCTTTGTGTCCTGATAGATGTCACGGAAGGCTTGCACTACTTGCTCTTCAAGTCCTTTTGCTGTGCCCAGGACCCATGTGGAAGATCAGACACTCCAGGGAAGTACGGCAAGACAACTAGGGGGTTGACACTAAGTAAAAAATGAATCATAAGAGAAAATTTTCTGTTTTAGCAGAAGATAACATTTATAAGGTACTTTGTATTAGAAAGGAGAGGTATTGAAAAATCATGTGTACATCATATTTGTTAACAAGGGCTTCCATAAGGCAGGAGATAGGGGATCGCAGTCAGGAAGCCAGCATGCTTATCCTCTTAGAGGAGTTTTTTAAAACAGTAAAGGTTTGGGGGCATAGAGTGACGGCATGTGAGTGACCAGATAGCAGCAGCCAGAGTGATTTGTAATCACCTAATCACTGGGAACCAAACATTATACAAAGAGTTAGGGGGAGGACAGCACAAAGCAGGAAAAGTTCTGAGTGACACTGCAATGCTTGCAATATGGTGAGAGAATGAAGGATGAGCTTCCTAAAAGAGGAAAACAGAAATAAAGGACATAGAACACAGACTGATGACTTATCTCCAGAGGAAAACTAACTGTGCATAAAGCAAATCAAATGACTCACATGAGGCATTCATTTTAAAAAGTCTAGATATGACCCTTTGCCTAAATCCTTCAGAAAAGCGACCTAAGATGTCACAGGGATCCAGCAGTACCCACAGATACGAATGTCTTCCCCTTGCCTCACCTGGGGCACCTCTGATATATATTGTCACCTTTCTATGTAAACACAGACAAACTAGGGAACAAGGGCAGATGAATCAAAGGAACTCAAGCTGTCCCTGCAGTCCTAGCTTGGTTTACAGATACATTCCCAGCCTGCTCAGCAGGAAGCTGAGGTCAACATGCTGGAATGTGGCACGGGGAGCTTTCCCACTGAGCTGCAAATACAGAAACACTCCGCTTTAATAACCCCAATCCCGGGCCCTGCAGAGACACACGGAGCACTCAATGCCCTGGTGCTGCCTGCTGTGCTTTCCAGGAGAGCTGTGCTCAGTAGGAGCTGTGTTCACAGGTTCCTTCAAGACCTGAAATGCAAATAGGACACCTGCACTTCCACAGCACAAGACAACAGTCACTCCAAAGCTGAGCCAGGAGAGGATCCTAAAAGAAAGCCTCACCTTGTTACACAGGTGAAAGGACCACTGCATCCCAGCTCAGATTGGAGTGTCCCCAAATAGTTTTGTAATGGAGGTCTGCCATCATCCATATAGCACGCAAAGAGTATTTGCTAGGCAACAAGGCACTATGCAGAGGATGACCTGAGAAGCAGATAAAATGATACACCACCTGGTGTGCTCTTGTGAAAAAGCCTCATATCCAACTGAAGATGACAACACATACGTAAATTAAATATGCAAGGAGAAATAAGCAGTCAATCAATAACAAATCAAGTTTACCAAAGGAAAGCAGAAAAGAGGAAGGAGTGCACTATGAGATGAGGGGCTCAAGGATGCTTTTATGAAAAAGATATGACTTTTGCTGGTCCTTAGAGGATGGTAAGTCGTGGACTGATGGTGACATAGCAGTGATCATTCCTGGCGGATGAACACTATGAACAAGTGTGTGGAGAAGAGGGTTGCTGGCTAGAGTTCAGAGATCACTGTGGACAGCAACTGCATGTTGCAAAGGAAGGTTAGGACCAAGTGCAGAAGGCTTTGAATAGATTCCATTATCTAGACAGGAGGGATCACTAAAGTTTCAAGTTGGGGAGTGACATCCAAGGAGTATGAAAGGAATCATGGGTTTTTAGGACATGTCTTCCCACAAATTTTCATCAACTCTCTTTTTATCAATGGCATAAACTTCCAAAAAGGCATCTGCTCCTCCATTCTCGCTCTAAATAGACATGCTTCCCTACATACATATCATCTATGTTTTTTAGCCCAGTGTTCTTTCCAACCAAGCTAGGCACCCCCAATTTACACTGTTTACTCACTCACCCCTGGGTCCGGGGTTTAGTCTCACCACATGGGACTTTTCAGAAACAGGATCACTCGTTCTTCACCAAATACATCATTCTGTAAAAATTCTCTCTGGCCTGTGGTCAGAAGGTATGATAATCTCTTCTTTTAGGTAAAAGACTTTCAGGAAGGACTTGGAATTCCAACACACTCCTCTTTTCTCCTGTTGCTGTTGCTAACTAGTGCAAAAAGAAAATGCATGGAACAAATGATTGCCCCAAATCAAAGGGTTCCCCCAAGCAAATGATACACAGCATATCACTTACTCTTTAGATAGCACCACTACAGCACATTTCAATTCGTTTTGATAACTCCAATTTTACTTGAGATAGAAAGTGGTAAGATTTTGTATGTATGTGATCAAAAAACACATAATACAAGTAGGTTTCAGCACCATAAGATACAGATTGCAGTTTGACCAAATCAACGTCTGGAAACATCTCAAATTTCTTCTGAGATTCAGGAGGTGGGAGAGTATAAAGAGGTAGAATATCTGGAATTTTCATATTGAAAATCATATTATATTAAAAATCTAAAAATCATCAGCACTTGGGATTCCAAGCACTGCCCTGGGCTCTAACACAAAAGGGATTAAAAATATAATTCCTTGTTTCAAAAATGCATTTGAACTAAGGGGACAAATTCAATTGCCAGACAATTCCTTTATAGCTTTAGAAACTGCCGACTCCATGAAATGCAGCTAAATTAACAGTTTGGATAAGAGAAGAAAATTCTCAATGACTTTTATTTATTCTATTGCTTTCTCTCAAATGTTGGTGATTTGTAACAAATGAAATTCCATTGTTAAAATTAAATATAGATTGTAAAGCCAACACCATTAATCTTATTTGTTACTATTATTGTATGGGCATTGGTTTGCCATCACTGAGCATGGTCTGAACTGTAACTCACGTTCCTTTTTTGTGTGCATGTTGTCTTTTTTATTAGATAAAAGCCCAACTGCGGGAGGAGGGTTTCTTAACCATCTCTGATTTCCCCATGTAGAATTTGTTGAACATTCTTTTTCTTCTCTCTCCTTCCCCAGCACCTGTAAGTATAGCAAAGATCAACGTGTGGAACATTAAGAACCTATACTTCAGTGACTCATGCTAATTATCTTGGTGCCTTTAACAGACATTTTTTAGTTCAATTACTTTGTGATTCCACTGCAGACAGAGTCTTACACAGAGAGAAAACTCATAAAGCTTTCTTTCTTCACCTTTCAACGCAACAGAGATGGAATGAACCTACATGTAAATATTTTTTCCCCGCTCTGGATTGTACTTAAAATATTTTTCCCTGTAAAACAACCTCACTAATTTCAACTGTTCATCACAGGCTTTAATAATTTGGATATAAGCCTTAGCTGAAGTCCACTTTTCTATTATATAGGATTTTAAAAGTCAACTATGAAAATGAATAATATAGAAAATGTTGTAAAAAGAACATTTAGCTCCTTATAATAAAACTAATTTTCTCATTCTTCTTAGAAAGTTCGTTTATGTGAAAATTTGATCTGCTAATTAAAACTAGTCTTACCTCCTCATTAAAGTAGAGCCCCAAAGAATCTCAGACAAAACTGTCAGCATTTAATTCTCAATGCATTATGCAACCATAAAATGTATTTTTAAAAAGTTCTATAACTCCAAATTGTCACCAGTTCTGCTTCCCTAACAAAAGGTCTGAACCAATGAAGATCCTGGCTATACATGTGCCATCTCTGTTAGAAGGCAGAGGAAGATTAAAGATAAATGAAACGGGAATTTAGTGTGTCCTTTTGAGACAGTAACAAATAAGCATTTGGGAGCTCACTGATGCCTGACATGAGATGTGAACGTGGATGTGAGGAAAAAGCTAGTTCCTAATAGTCTCCTTTTGGTCTAGTCTCATTCCTGTGAGCAACCTAACTCTACCATACTTAGTCTATTCTTCATAAACAAAAGCTTTGCACATGCTTTAATCTGTACATTGTTACCTTCTTGTAGCTCTTAAGGAGACTGCTTTCATAGTAACTTTTCTTGCTCAACGGAAATGGCTCACTACCCTTTGAAAACTCATTCTCATTAACATTTCTTTCCTCCAACTTCTTTTCACCAGTACAACTTTAAAACTCTAACATCACATCATCATCTTTGGACACCTGGCTAGGAACACCAGACAAACTCTATTTAAAACACACACTTTCTGTCATCGTTTAAGTGAATTACATCTTGCACTAAACAGCAAAGGAATAGTTTATGGTAAAAGCAAAGTGAAGGTACAGTGGTTAATTTCTCCAACTGAAATGCAGTATCATCAATACACATTTAGGATGTCCATTAAACTACCAGTATGTCACCACGAAAACCCACAGGATCTCTCTGCAAAGTTCATATTATTTTTTGAACCAAATCCCTCATATAAAAAATAGCCTTTTAAATCTACATTATTCACTCCCTTGCGCTCCCTTCCCTGAAGATGAAATAATTCCCAGCCCATTTTGGAAAATAAAGCATGCCTGAGAAAGAAAGATCAGTTTGATCTTCAGAACCCTGGTGCTCAAATGAGATAAGAGAGTGTCAGTGGTGAAGTGTCTATCAACACCATTTTTCTGTAATAACAAAAAAAGTGAATATGAATTTAGACTCATGAACTGTGAGCTAACTCTGGGGTTTAAACTTTCAAATTGTGTACAACTGCAGATAGTTGACTCTAATCTCTTCTCTCAGCTCTCAATCCCCTTCCAGTGTAAGCAATCCTAAATGCATTGCTGATATGTTCTCAAGACAGGGTAAATTCAAAATAACATCATCATCTTCCTTATCAGGGAGCCCCTCGGCTGCATGAATTGTCAGCTTTATCGCACCAGAGATAGTAATTAAACCTTCACCAGCTCCAGCACATGTCCCAGCACAAGGAGAACAAGCATGTAGAATCATATTATGTGATGTTTATTAACTAGCAAATAAAAGCTCTGTTAAAAGAATATCCCTGACAGGAGAGAAGAAGGCTAAATAAGTCCATGCTTTATTGCTACATGTATTTTTAAAGAAATGCCTATTGTACTGTAGAGTAGGTAACATTTCCCAGTATGTTTGAAATCATTCACTGAGCACCATATGGTGCAGTAATGTCACTGAACGGTGGGGCACAAATCACTCACAATCCATTTCACTGTGCACTCTTATTTGTTTAAAAAAGCAAAACTATTCTGAAATGCAACACTGCCCTTTGTTACCCTTCAGAAAGAATCAAGATAGGCTGAGCATTAGTGATGCTATTTATTTTTACATAGGAAGCCACAGAAGAAGTACACGTGAAAAGGATACCCTTCAGGAAAGGATATCAAAGTTAGCCAATGCATGGGAATGGGGCAGACCACGGAGGGGGAACTGAGATTCCATTTACATGGCCCCCAAACTAAAGCAAACCACTGGCTCCAAGACTCAACAGAGTTTGGCACTCATTGAAGTGGGCAAAGAGACCATTTGCTCAAAGGAAATATGAATGGATTGAGTGTATAAAAATATTAAGGCAGTGCATAGTGGCTCACATTTGTAATCCCAGTACTTTGGGAGGCCAAGGCAGGAGGATCACTTGAGGCCAGAAATTTGACACCAGCCTGGGTAAAATGTGAGACTCCATCTCTAAAGTGTGTTTTAAATTAGCTGGGTGTGATCACAATTGCCTATAGTCCCAGCTACTTGGGAGGCTGAGGTAAAAGAATTTCTTCAGCTCATAAATTCAAGGCTGCAGTAAGCTAGGATTGTGCCACTGTATTCCAGCCTGGGTGACAGAGCAAGACCCTGTCTCTTGAAAAGAAAAAAAAATAATAAAATATTAGAGCATTTGGCCTATTATGAAATTGAAAGCTTATTCATTTCCTTTCTGAAGCTTCAGGTTCAAATATCAAACAATGGCTATGTAGGATAAGCCCAGCTGCTTCTCTGTAAAAGTATCATAACCCCCCAAAATATACAAGGTTAATCCAACATTAGAGTCAAAAACTAGATCTGGGCATGGTGGCTCATGCCTGTAATCCCAGCACTTTGGGAGGCCAAGGTGGGTGGATTGCTTGAACTCAGGAGTTCAAGACCAACCTGGGCACATGGCAAAACCCTGTCTCTACCAAAAATACAAAAACGTAACCAGGTATGGTAGTGCATGTCTGTGGCCCCAGCTACTTGGGAGGCTGAGGTGGGAGGATCGCTTGACCCCAGTGGGTGAAGGTTGCAGTGAGCCAAGATCACACCACTCCACTCCAGCCTAGGTGACCGAGTAAGACTCCGTCTCAAAAAAAATGAAAACTAAACCAAACCAAAACAAAACCTAGAGATGAGCCAAATCAAATAATACATCTTCCCATGTCATTATCAAATGGTCAGGGTGAGGGGGAAAAGTACAGGGAGTAGCTAGACGCAGATCAGAGGCTAAGATCAAAGACCTAAAGAGCAGATGCCGCCATGTCGTGATGATTCCCCCATAACCCACCCAATTAGACAACGGTTCATTGCTCATCCTTGTTTGGTTTTATTCAAAGGGACAATATATCCAAAGGCCCTAATTAAGAGGAAGGATTATAAAGCTGTCTTTAAACATCTACACCTATTGGGACATTATGTGGAAACACCGTAATACACAGCAAGGCAAATAAAACTAAAAGCACACCAACAAACAAGAAAACCTCTAGGACCCAGAATTGTAGGAGGGTGCACAGGAAATGGCCAGAGAAACAGACTATGAGAGTTATGACCTGGATTTTTTTTTCCTGTGAGTCTTCTGAAGTCTTGATAGCTACAAATGCATAACAAACCATAACTTGGTACAAGTTCTTCTTACCAAATCAGGAAAAAAATAGGTCCTCAGCCAAGTCCTTCCCTTCTCTTCTACAGCAGGTGTTTACTAGACAAAGGCTTGATATCTAGTCATAATTCTCTATGAGTTTTGCATGTCTCTAACATCCCCTTTCCCACTATATTTTTTAAAATGATAATCTCAGCCCAACACAAACCAAAATACAGAATATCATCAAAGGCAAGAGAAGGCACTGTTATAAGTCGTCTTGGCCTGGAAGTAGGAACACTGTTATTTTTCTTTTCTATATTAATGGGACCAAGATGTTATAATCATGATTAAGAGGTGGCAATCCAATGAAGCATATGAAGTATGAAACATAAATCAGAACATATCTAAAATGCTGTGTTCTCCATCTTTGCTATCTGAAAAACTTTGTGTGTGTGTGTGTGTGTGTGTGTGTGCAGTGGCACAATCATAGCTCACTGCAACCTTGAGCTCCTGGATTCAAATAATCCTCCTGCCTCAGCCTCCCAAGTAGCTACGACTAAAGCACACACTACTATGCCCAGTAAATTATTTGCTTTATTTTTTGGTAGACATAGGGTCTTGCTGTATTGAACTGCTGGCTTCAAGCAATCCTCCCACCTCAGCCCCACAAAGTGCTCAGATTACAGGTATAAGCCACCATACCCAGCTTTAAACTACTTTTTAAAACAAATTAAAAATAAATTTGTATGAAATGTCTTCACAAGTACACTGTAAGTAATTCTATATAAATTATCCATGGGTGTCTTCAGATGTGGTTGACTACATTGTTTTACCAATTACTTAGTGATTACATTTATTCAGCCCATTTCCATGAAGGATAGAAACTATGATTAAACTACAACCATTGTTGTGGCATTTGGCTCCATACCAACAAACAGAATAGATTCAATGGCCTCAGCATGGTTTTCATGTTTATTTCATTTCCATGCCTAAAAGTTACTTTCATTATTTGGTTCCTTTTTTTTCTATAGCTAACAGGAAATAAAGAAAAAGCTGACAGACTGTTAAGAAATATATACAACATTCAAACAGCACAAATATAAGTGAACCATAAAAATCTCAGGAAAATTACCATTTTCTCAACAACAGTTTTAATTTTAAATACTTAATATTCATAGGAAATCTCCTAGACACAATTACATTGACAAGGCTTTATACATTTCAAAGGAATATGACAGAACACTTAGTTAAATGTTATATTAAAGATTCATTGTAAATTAAATATTAAAAGGTATTCAACAGATCCAACTGTGGTTCAAATCCATCTGTTACTACAAACTATATTTTTTCTTTAATTTAGCATTGCCATATGCCACGGCAGAGCACCCAAGCTTTTCTTGATTTTCCGTTTGAAAACCCTCCTTCAAAATGAGTAGCCATGGTTAACTCATGGTATTTATTCTTCACTGTAGATGATCACAGAGTCATATTTCACTAGGTTCAAGTTTGAAAGACCACAGATACAATTTAATTAGAGAAAGCCTTCACCCCAAAAGTATTAGCTTCTTACAAAGTCTGCATAAAAAGTCTATCACCAACTTGGCCTCAAGTTATAAGAAACATGAAGAAAAGAAAGAAAGGGAAGATCATATATAATACTTCCAAGAGTGGGAAAGAAAAAATGCAGGAAGGAGAGAGGATACAAAGGTACAGCAAAAAGAGAAAATTGCAACACAGAAAATAAGTGGGTGGGTTTAATTCTCCATTGCTTACATCATGGACAATCTGGTTATTGAATATATAGAGAAAGCCTGACACGGAAGGAGCTAATGAAATCCCTACCAAAGCAAAGCTCAGGAGACATAGGTCTGCTCTTTATAGCCTGTTCTCAGGGGAAGTAAAGACAAAAACAGAGACAAACAAGAGTTATCTATAGATCATTCCACAGCCACCATCATGCCTACTCCCAGAGAGGTTGTACACAAAGAAAACAAACCAGAAGAGAAAAAAGAGCTCCACAGGACACATCTACGCATGGACATGGCCAACTAGACTAAGTCCCAGCACTCCTGGGCCAAGTCAAGAGGTGAAAACTGTGGGCACATGAGATTCACAAACTTAATATGGATTCAGGCTTTCTCTGACAGAGGCAAGAAGCATTCCAGGAAATAAGAACTCTTGTCCAACCTTTCTTCATAAATCTTCCCTATTAGTGTTTTCCACTTAATTATAAAACCACTATCTCTGAAATGTGTATATACTTGAATTCTGCTCCAAAACATCCTAAAATCTTATTTAAAGGAATATCATGCTATCTGTTAATGTCAATAAAATTAATTCAAAGTATAGTTCAATTCTAGATGGTGAGGATGCAAGGACAAATGGTATAGGAGGCCTGGACTCCATGTGATTCTTGATCTTAAAGAACTCATCTCCTAGGGAGAGACACTACCTGAGAGATAGGTGATTTAATTACAGTATACTCACCACCAACACTGTTTCTCTACACTTTAAAATTGTATATCATTAGATAAAATGTGTTTGAAGATAAAGATATATTATCTATAATACATACAGTTATATAATATGATATAGTCTTGTCAGACTGCCATGTTTAATATGATAAAGTCTTAGGTCAGACTGCCATAACAACATGCCATAGCATGGGCAGCTTAAACAACAGAAATTAGTTTTCTCATGGTTCCGGAGACTGGAAGTCCATGATTAGGGTGCTAGGATGGTCAGGGCTGGTGAAGGCTCTGTTCTTGGCTTGCAAACAGACACCCTCTTACTGTGTCCTTACATGGCCTTTCCTCCATGAGTAAGCATGGAGAGAGAGGAAGCTTTCTACTGTCTCTTGTTCTAAGGGACCCAATATCATAAGGGTACCACCCACGTGACCTCTTCCAGACCTAATTACCTCCCAATGGCACCACCTTCAAATAAATCCCATGGTGGGTTAGGGCTGGAACATACGAATTTTAAAGAGACGCAACATTCAGACCATAACAAATATATAAGAGACATAATACATATTATTTATATATATTTAATATAATATACAATTGAATTATAATTATCTATATTATCTTAAATTTACATTTCTTAGGTAATAGTAAAATTTTAATTTATATTACATTTCCTGAATATGATACAATAGGGTGGTTATATAATAGAATGTCTTTGCTTTTAGCAGGTAATATAGGCTGAAGTATTCAGGAATGAACTGTAAAGATATCTGAAACTATCTTTAAAATGGCTTAATTTAAAAGTATCTGTGTGTGTGTGGGTGGGTGGGTGTGCATGCATGCGCACATGTGTGCACATGTGTCGGGGGGTGGCAAATACTGCAAAATGCCAGTAATTGGTGAACCTGGATGAGGAGCTCTAAAACCAGTTTGTTGTTCTATTGTTTCAGCCTCTCTACAGGTTTGAAATTTTTCAAAGTAAAATTGAGAAAAACAGCAAATTAACCAAGATAATGTTTTCAATCTAAATAGTACTCTCATTATAGTTGTACCAGGTTTAAGTTCTCTTTCTTTTGCCAGGCATTTGGAAATATGTCACTTAGTGGACATAATTTGACCTGTTTTGCTTCACCATGCGCTTTCCCACATTATTAAAGCACTTCTAATTAAAAACAAAGGTAGGCATGGGCATACTTTACAAGAAACCTGCTTGCTAATAAATTAAAAATAGAGAGACATATAGAGAAGACGTATAGAGAAACAAACGAGGGAGAGAGATAGCAAGGAGCAAAGGGCCTTGTAAATGATTTATGTGTGGCCAACCTCTTTGTTCTGTCCCACACCACATGACAAGATGATTAACTGGTTTGACTCATTTGGTAGAACAAGCGAAGGAGACCAATCAGAGCAAGTAGAAGCAAACTCCAAGGCTCCAGCAACCCAAAGAACTGTCATTATAAATTCACTCCTCTTGCCTGCTCTGTTTTATGTATGTCCCTGACTAATGCCATATTTTTAATTTTTGACTTTGCTATTTTTATATTTGCCATATTATACCATTACAGAAACAGAAGTGAAGTATTTGAGGGTTTATACAGTTGAGATATGCATGTTCAATAGTTCTATTATGTTCCCAATAATTACAAATGCTCTTCCTCCTCTGGAAAATTGTAAGGACACATTCCCACATCTGCCATCAACACACTAGTCCCCAACATGATTCATTTATGCTTATGTTTTCATCTGGGGAAGACCTGGGTTCCTTTCAATACAAAAACAAAAAGTATATCTGAAGTCAATCTTTCTTTCTGTAGACAGGAAATAATAAATTGAAAAAATAGAAGTTTAATGGCAGACAGGAACTGTGGAAGGGCATGAAAGCATGGGAAAAGGGAAGAGAAGGTAAAAATTTACATATCACTCTTTCAATAAACAGGCAAGTAGGTGGGTAGGTAGAAAGCAACATGCACTAGTTCTAGATGATGCTCTAGAAGTTGTGGGGAGAAGCAGAAAAGTACCCCATGATCAAGTTGGAAATGCTCTTTACTATATCCCCTGAGAGATTCACAATGAACAGCAGCATATGAGAGGTTCTATGAAGTTCTTCTCTGAAAAATTACTAGTATGATTTTAAGAGATCTGCAGCCTGTTGTTACTTCTGTTAACTAAATTAGAACCACTAGAGTCATGTCAAATTGTTACATATTTCACATTATTAATCGTATCCCACTTGGAGTTGTAGAAAAGATTACACTAGAAGAATGATCTCTATTATGACATGAGCTAAGAAAATAATTTCCATTAATATTAGTTGATTGGCTTCTGATCAGGCTGTCTACCATGTGACAAAGAATATGTAATATATCTTAGATGATAATCATGCCACAATAACCCTGATTTTTTAAACTGTTTTCCAATACATTTCCAATTATATCCATAGCCTCTAAATTACTCAGGGGAAGAAGGATCTAGAATGCACATTATCCAGCATCCTAAATTGTTGGACCACAGATGAATCATTCACTTAGCAAATAGGTTGTGGGTGGTGAACACTGCTCTAGGTGAATCTAATGATATATATGATACATATAGCCTTTGCAAACAAAGACTTTACAGGAAGGGTAAGTGGACAATTACATAAGCAAATGGAGGACAGTTTGCTAGATGAGCTGACAAAACAAATACAAAACAGAAAACTCTCACCAGTTCTGGAGAGTCAAGAAAAATACTGCCTGAGAAGTTACATCTAACCTGAGACCTGAAGACCGAGTGTAATTAGCCAAAATAAGGTGGCTTATGTTTGGAGTGGAGGGCGAGCAGGTGTCCATGTAAAGTGCATGCACAAGACCATGTGGCAAGAGAGAAATGGGATACTGGGGCACATGGAAGAAGTTCCTTAGCATCTCTCTTGAAGGAAGGGTAAGGAACAAGGAAAAACAGTGAAAAAATAGGAATCTATGTGCCCTCAAACACTCCAAGACGCCTGATTTAGAAAAAAAAATGCAATTAGTTCACTTAAATGGGGTTTAATTCCAAGAATGCCTATATTTTGGCCAAGCATCCCAGGAATCCATATGGGATCACCTCTTCTTTCCTCTCTTTCCCACTCTGCCCAAATCCATAATATTTTTGGGATAGTGAATAGGTTGTCAAATGTCTTATAATTTGTTTCAGTGACTTACTATGGCCAGAGATTTAATTCTTGTTATGTCTTATTTATTCTTCTGTTTATTTCCTCCCCACAAAATGTGAGCAGTTCTTTCATTGCCTAGTTAATGTAAACCACAGGTGAAACCTTTCAAGTCAGGGCTTCTGCCTTATTTTTTCATTCAACTCTCATTATTTTTCTTAATAAGATGCACTCAAAGCATTCACTAGATTGAAACCTAGCTGGCCTATAGAAGGAAAAACTATTTTATTTAATACCAGGATTCTATTCCTATTCAGTGATACCCTTCCCCATTTCCCCTGGTACCTGGTATCTACAGAAATTATACCTGCCATCTTTAGCTTACATCTCCTCTGCCTGCAAGTGACCAGTTAACTGTTATCCTTCACAGCTGCTTTTTTTTTTTTTTTTTTTTTTTTTTGCAGGGGATGGCATGAAAGCCTAAGAAGATAATCCTCCAGTGAAAGAATTTTGGACAAAAACAGGGGTAGGGAAAGAACTGTGTGGCAGTACATGTTGTAGGGGCTTCCAGTTGGAATCTTTTCTTAAAACTGTTCTTCATGCATTGGTTTTTTTCAGATACCAATATATCTTGGAATTATTGCTATATTAGTTCACAGAGATCTTCATCCTCTGTGACAGCTACATAGCCCTCCATTGTGAGAATGTACAAAAGTTAACCCAACGTCTCTCCTACTGCTGAAGATAGAAGACTGTATAAAAAAAATCTATGCATCTGCTCAGTTGTGCAAAATGAAACACAGGAGGGATATACCAGACACTAATGAGATTGGCTACACCTAGGAGATAATGGGAATGGAATGGTAAGAATGAGCAATCGGGATTGAGGCTGAAAGGATGGGAAGGAGGTATTTCTCCGAGTATAACTTCTCATGTATATCTGACTTCAGAACTATGATCATGTTTCACACATTATATAATAATTAAAGATGAGAAGATGACATACCACTACAAACAAGTGAAACTAACTCTATTATAAATGCATAGCATGATCCACACTGAAGTGTTGAGATAATCTATATGACCTTGGAAATAGTAAATTGACTCTATGAAGATGAAAAGAACTTCACACAGATAGATTTTCTTTCACAGGGGTATGGGTTAGAAATTTCAATACTACTTTTCTATATTCCTTGATTAACAAATAAGCAAGCATATCATTTATAATGGTAGCCAACTTCCACAATGGAAAAGAGTTAGAAATAAAGAAATAGTGAAGGGGTAGGTTCTTGTTATGTCAAATTGAAATTAGAGGTACTGCGATAAACTTGTGGATTTTAGTATATATACTGATAGGTATGGAAATGTATACAAATGTGTGTATATATGTGTATGTATGTGCATGTGTATGTACATACATTTTCTAGTCCTGTTCACTGAGAAGGCCTGAAACCAATGGTACTCCAATAACAATAACATGCCTTACTCCCCAACCATGGTTTCCAAATACTATTCTGTAATAAAAGCAACCAGGAATCATTGGTAAAACACCCTAATTCCAGGGTCAGAGCAAGCAAAGCACAAGATGAGCCTGGAATAGCTTGTGGTATCATAAAATAGGAAAAGTGCTTTAGAAAATGATGGGGACATCAAAAGAAGACAGCAGCTCATTCCAGGGGCCTCATAGCAGGCAAATATGGGATAATTTTGACCAACAAAATACATGACAGCAATGAAAACTGAACCAAAAGCATAATAATCCATGAGCTCATGCTAATATAAAGAAATAAAGTATAAGAGAAAGCATGTCTTTACCATAGAGTACCAAGTGACAAATATAGAAAGAATAATGAAAATTTATTTATTTGTCTAATTAGTTCATTTTTGAGACAAAGTCTCGCTCTGTCACCCAGGCTGAAGTGCAGTGGCATGACCTCAGCTCAGTGCAGCCTCTGCCTCCTGGGTTCAAGCAGTTCTCCCAAGCTTAGCTACTTGGAGGCCTGAGACGCCTGTCTAATTTTTGTGTTTTTTATTAGAGGCAGAGTGTTGCCATGTTGGCCAGGCTGGTCTCAAACTCCTGACATCAAGCGATCCTCCCACCTCAGCCTCCCAAAGTGCTGGGACTACAGCTGTAAGTCACCATGCCTAGCCTAGAATAATAAAATTTAAATGTCACCATTTGGCAAAAAACACAGTATTAACTATTTAAGGAAAGAATCATCACTAGATGCTAAAATTAATGGGAAAAAGAATAAAGAGAACCAATATTTTATGTGTTCTTAAAGCACAACCATATGATAATTACAAAGGGAAAATTGTAACTTCTAAATTACAAGCAGAAAAACAAGCTTATAGGGGAGAAACCTGGCAGATAACATGTTAACCAAATGACTTAGTTTAGCATCACCAATAATGGGACAAATTAAGATTGTGCCTCCTAATACAATGCAGAGAAGGCCACAACATCATATCTGTGCTATGCATAATGAAAATGCACAATCTAAATACAACCCTGAAGAAATACCAGAGATGCCCAAGTGGACATATAGCTTATAATATGGTTTGGCTGTGTCCCCATCCAAATCTCATCTTGAATTGTACTCCCATAATTCCCATGTGTTATGGGAGGGACCCAGTGGGAAATAATTGAATCATGGGGGTGGTTTTCCCCATATTGTTCTCATAGTAGTGAATAAGTCTCACAAGATCTGATGGTTTTATTAGGGGGTTCCACTTTTTCGTCCTCTTCATTCTCTGTCTGCTGCCATCCATGTAAGATGTGACTTGCTCCTCCTTGCCTTCCACCATGATTTGGAGGCTTCCCAAGACACATGGAACTGTAAGTCCAATTAAACCTCTTCCTTTTCTAAATTGCCCAGTCTCGGGTATGTCTTTATCAGCAGCGTGGAAATGGACTAATACAGCCTAAAAAATAACAGGTTAATATGCTTCCCAAGTTTTGAAGTCATTAAATATAAAAACAGATGAAGAAACTGTTCCAAATTGGAGACTAAGATGAGGACAACAACTTGCAACACGTGACCCGGGATTGGACTCTGGACCAGAGAAAGGATATTAGTAGGAAAACTGTGAAATTAGAAATACGATTTGTGGATTTATGGGTTGGTAAACTAAGGCTGGCTGGTCACCTATTTTTATAATTAAGGTTTTGGAAACACAGCCATTACTATCCTTATAAGTATCTTTCATAGCTACAACAACAACAGAAATGAGAGATGAGATGAAGAACTTACAGCCAACAAAGCCAAAAATATTTATTCTCTGGCCCTTTACTGAAAAGGCATACTAATCTCTGAATTAGAAAAGAGTATTATATCATGTTAATTTCATGATGTTGATAATTGCGTGTGGTTCTTGAAAATGTCAGTTTGGGGAATGAGACAGATTTACAGGAATTCTGTTTTTGCAACTGTTTTGTAAGTCTGAGAATAATTCAAAATGAAGAATTTAAAAATCATCTATACCTTAGAGCCTAATTATTTCAATTGTCACAATGGTCCAGTAATTTGGCTCACTGCATTAAAGTTAGGGTCTTCATTGCCCCTGGTGAGACACAGCTACCCTCACAGAAAGCTAAATATGGAAATGCAAAACCTATGCACTTAGCTAGAAAGTGCTCTACCCAGAAGGCACTTTATGGTTACCATTTATTCTGTGTCAGGCTCTGGGCTAAGTGCTTTACACCTATTTTCTTGTAAGGAAGTGCATTTGCAAAAAGGAAAATCCATTTACTTAAAGAGTTCTAATTCCATAAAACACTTTTTACTAGCTAGTAAAGTGAACAGGCAAGGGCTGCAGAGGAGTGGCATGAGACAGTTGATTCAATTGCGAAATGCAACTTGTGAAAGAGTTATTTTTAGCAAAATTCCTCCACATCCAACATCCCAACCATATTAATGGAGGTTTTCTGTCTCTATTATAAATATTTTCCTAAAAAGAAACTTAGATCATGTCTGATACTACAGATTAATACTATAACCCATCAAATCAAAGATATTACTGAATGTTAAGATGTATCAAGATTTTATTTGCCACTAATTGCGTAAGGTTTACCAATTTTAATTGGAAGATGCCACCGACAAATAACCAAATTCAGAACTTAAAATGAAAAGATGTGTACCTTTGAATAAAATGCAATATAGCACATAATTGATATATGGTCAATATGCATTTTTGGAAGCATCTTTTACTCATTTGGGCTGTTCTAGGCAGAATTATATTCGAGGTCTAATTTAATAACTGAAGCAGATGGCCAGTTAAAGCTGTTGCTAAGCTTCACACTATTGAAAATGGTGGACAAGACTGGAAAATTTCATCTCTGAGGAATGAAAGAGAAGCTGCATAAGTGATTCTGAGAACCCAAATTGCCTCCTCCACAGACTCAGTTGGCTGCAAGCTAATCACCTCCTCATGCATCTGTGAATTTCCATTAGTGCTTTGCTACTGGTGTCAATGACAGTCAATACCCCACCGAAAAGAAATCACTCCATTAGTGAGGGATTTCTAAGCATTCCGAGTTGACTTCCTGATGGTCTCTGAGATAAGACACTTAGACGAATGACCTTTTTTGCGACTTTTGTCCTGAATGTGTGTTGTCTCATGGAGGTTACACAGTCTTAACATAAGGTCACATTGCTCCATTTATTTTATTTACTGTTCACTTTAAAATCAAGGACAGCCATGAGATTCCATAGTTAGGTCTTCTTAGACATCATACAGTCCATCCTTTTTTTCTACAAATGAGTTGACAGAGCAGAGAAAGGTGACAATATTTGCATGAAGAAAGTAGATAAGGTAAACTGGAACAGAGCCCAGACCAGAACCCAGGTCCTCTAACTCCCAGTCCAAAGCTCTTCCCATTTCATTAGCAGACGATTGAACCTTGTTTAATATTTGCAACCACCCTGAAACTCCCTCATCATCCACATACCATTATCACAATCCTGGCAAGCATGCTAGTTTTCAGACATTTTGGCATCCATTAAATTTATTTTCCTTCTTCAAAAATGAGCCCAAATGTGCTTTTGATGTTTGAGAGTATATATATTTTAAAAAATCTTTTTAAAAGCAACTTGAATAAAAATAAAGCTATCTAAAGCAAGAGTAATTTTGCAATAGTGTTCCAATCACAGTTCTCCCATCTGGGGAAACCAAGCAGAAAACACAGTAGGAGTTTTAAACTACACATTGTCAGTAGCTGCAATGTGTGTTTTAAAAAATATATATTGCCAATTTCACATCAGTTCTTGGAACATACATTCATATGGATATAGCCACAGTTTGCCACTGCCACCATGCCCATATAGTTTCCCAGACTCCTAAAATATGTACTCACACAGCAGAAATTAATAGATTGAATTCAAAGATGCACATACTTGACTTACAACACAGCTGTAGTTGAAATGTGGACACACAGAACATAGAAGACAATTTTCCTTCCAAGTAATGACTGGTAACCTATAGACGATGCACTAAAACAAGACAGATTATAGAATTCTGGAACACACTCAGCATTCCAGAGAATATGCCGAGCTGTGCATCAAGCCAATCAGCAGCTCAGCAAAGCCCAAGACCAGAGCCCACATCTTCCATAACTCTGATTTAATGAAGTTCGCAAAAGCTGCTTTAAAGGAAGGAAGGATTTGACAAAATTTAGGATAGAGAGATTCTCTAATGAAAGCCCTCCCTACAAAAATGAAAGCTTCTAGTATGAATTATAGGAATTCAATATGTTACAATCTTCTGGAAAGGTGATTCACATTTGTATGTAAAAGGAAATCAGAGACAACACTGATGTTGGGACATGGTGAGATATGCACAGCATCTGATCAGAGCTTGATAAATGAGCTGCAGACAGAGCTCTCAAGGACAGGGAAAGGAACTGTTAAATGGCACAGGGACATGAAAAAACCCTCTAGAAGAAACTAATTTTCTAGTGCATTATTATTTGAGTTTGCAAACCAGAATAATTTCAAGTAATTCAGAAAAAAAAGAAACTCTGAAACTCTTCTGTTTTTGCAACTGTTTTGTAAGTCTGAGAATAATTCAAAATGAAGAATTTAAAAAGCATCTATACCTGAGAGCCTAATTATTTCCATTGTCAGAATGGTCCAGTAATTTGGCTCACTGCATTAAAGTTCAGGTCTTCATTATCTAAAAATCTAGATAGTAAGCAAAGATCTGGAGGCAGGGCAAATCAAGCCCAACTTCCAGGCTTTTATGTTATAATGATAATCAGTATTCATAATTTTAGACACTAAAATTTTGAATCCTCATATAAAAAATGGATTTCAGAAATACATCTTTTTAATGAACGTGATGTAGAATTTAGTTTGAATAAACTACTGTACTCATTGCTGAGGGGCTAGAGAATATATAAGACGTAATACAGGTATTCAAAGAAAGGAGAAACCTTATTTCACTATATTTTGCAAAACTAAGTAATCCATGTATGGTATAAGTGGAAACTTTAGTAATCAGGCTATTCAGTTAATCAGAATGTCCCATGTCAAAGAACATTGGTGTTCACATACAAGATTGTCACAAGACCCACAATCTCTTCACACAGAAACTTTGATAACATTGTGATGGTCCACGAATAAAGATACATTCAAAGAGACTTGTATTCTAAAGGGGTGATGAAGTCATTGCATCCCATGGTTTGGCAATCACATAGAAGCTGGTAGATGGGTGAATAATTTGTTTTGAGAGACTTCACAGTCCATGTTTGAGGAAGAAAAGAAGCCACACGGTCACACTGGCCAGATCTTTGCTAAGTGTTAAAACAAGAACACACAGCAAAATAAAAATATTTGCATTCAAAAACAAATATACTACCTTTTTCTTGAAGAGTCTTATAATCTGTTTTTGTCTGTTTTTTAAAGACAGGGTCTTGCTTGGCCATCCAGACAGAGTGCAGTGGTGCAATCACAGCTGATTGCAGCGTCGAACTACTGGGCTCAAGTGATCCTCCTGCCTCAGCCTCCTGAGTACATGGGACGACAGGTGTGAGCCACCAGGCCTGGCCCAAGGTTTATAGTCTCTATGGCCATTTTCTACCTGTACCTTATCTATTCATGGGAATCATAATTTTTAAATATACCAATTCTTAACTCATTCATATAAAAACCCAGTGCCAATAAAAGCTTACTGTGATATTGGCTCCACAAAAATACCAAAAAATACAGTACTAGTTTCTATAATTTTATAAATAGCAAAACATAAATTTCAGTCAATGGACATAATTGTGTATCTCAGAAATACAAGAATGTCTCATAAGGAAAGAGTTGGAATAGAATGACTGGAACACTCCTTGAAGGAGGGATGAATATTGGACTATGATTTAAATACATGATACAGCAGACAGGAAGGGGGAACTACTTTTTTAAGTTCTAGGGTACATGTGCAGGATATGTAGATTTGTTAAATAGGTAAACATGTGCCATGGTGGTTTGCTGTACCTATCAACCCATCACCCTAGGTATGAAGCCCAGCACACATTAGATATTTTTTCCTGATGTTCTGCTTCCCCTGACCCTCACCACTAAACAGGCCTCAGTATGTATTATTCCCCTCCCTGTGTTCTCATTGTTCAGCTCCCACTTTTAAATGAGAACATGCGGTGTTTCGTTTTGTGTTTCCATTAGTTTGCTGAGGATAATGGCTTCCAGCTCATCCATGTCCCTGCAAAGGACACGATCTCATTCCTTTTTAGGGCTGCATAGTATCCCATGGTGTATATGTACCACATTTTCTTTATCCAGTCTATCGTTGATGGGCATTTGGGTTGATTCCATGTCTTTGCTATTGTGAACAGTGCTGCAATGAACATACGCATGTATGTATCTTTATAATAGAATGAATTATATTCCTTTGGGTATATACCCAGTAATGGGATTGCTGGGTCAAATGGTATTTCTGGAAACAGGGAACTTGTTCTAAAAGTCTAGATAGTAAGCAAAGATCTGGGGGCAGGAGAAAATTTTCCCAGTGCTCCAAATTTGATATAAATATGGGAAGATGTTGTGAGAAATGGCAGTAACTTCCTGTTGATGTGGAAGTCACTCATATGGGAATCTTACCTGCTTTTTTTTCACTACCAAGAAGGTAATAAGCAAAGAAACAAGAAAGGAATGAAGGAAGGGAGGATGGAAGGATGGAAGGAAGGAAGCTTGATAGCTTCTAGTCAGCAAAAGCATGTTCTCAATGAAAATTTCAGTGATAATTTCTTGACCCAGAGGATCATACCATCAGCCAAAGCATATATACAATTGGCTTTACTTATTCCCACAACTGATTCTTCATGGTGGGGGCTGGAGGGTTGGATTTACCAGGCACCGTTCTAGGTTTTAGCAATAGAGCATTCAAATAACTCAAGTTTCTACTCCCTCAAACTTGTAATCTAACAGGAGATACAGACTAGGAAATAAGCAAAGCCAACACAGTAATATTCAATACATCTATCCTGGGGGAAATAAGAGGGTAAAATGAGACTGCACAAAATTAGAATTAACCTGCTTCGGTGGGTCAGGGAAGGCCCCATCATCCAATCTGAGACCTAAGATGTGGTAGAGGCAAGAGAGAAGCAAAGCAAAGTGAAAAGTGTTGCAACCCAATGTTCATTTTGCCCAGCAGTCTGGGGTTAATGAGCAAAGCTTGTTAGGGGGACAAATATAATTCACACTGTTGTGACATCAAGTGAGAAAAGGAAACAGGTCAGAATAAAGCCAGAGGAAAGCAGCAGCTGTCATTCAGAGGCTTGTCAGGTATTTGACTTTTTTCTCGTGGTAACAAAGCCATTAATTAAAGGAATTTAAGCTGAGAAATCATATCATTAGATTTTTACATTAAGATGATCCTTTCAGATGCAGTGCAGAGAGGAGGGAGATAAAACTGGTTAACAGGGAAATCAATTAAGAGACTGTAGATGAACAAGAGATGATGGCAGCCAAAAGAGAAACACAGTAGCCCCCCTCATCTGTGGTTTCTTTTTCCACAGTTCAGTTACTCATGGTCAATCTTGGTCTGAAAATGTTAAATGAAAACTTCTAGAAATAAAAAAATTTATATTTTAAAGAAGTGTGGTACTCTGGGTAGATGGTAAAATCTCATGCCATCCCAGTCTGTCCCACCCAGGACACTAATCATCTCTTTGTCCAGTGGATCTATGCTGTTGATGCTCCCCACCCATTAGTCACTTAGGAACCATCTCAGTTCTCAGACCGACTCTCACATTATCACAGAGCTTGTGTTCAAGTCACCCTTACTTTACTTCTTAATGGCCTGAAAGTGCAAAAATAGTCATGCAGGCAATTTGGATTGGCCATAGAAAAGCTGTTAAGTTCTTCCTTTAAGTGAAAGGGCTAAAGTTCCCAGTTGAATAAGGAGAGGAAAAAAAAAAAAAACTTTGTTGATGTTGCTACAGTAAGATCTACGATAAGAATACATCTTCCATCCATGAAATTTTCAAGGAAAAAGAAATTCATGCTACTTTTGCTGTCATACCTCAAACTGAAATATGATTGGCCACAGACCATGATAAGTGCTCAGTTAAGACAGAAAAGGTATTAAATTAGTCAGTGGAAGTCATGAACAAAAATGTGTTCCAACTGGTGACAACAGGGTTCAGTACTACCCAGTTGGATGCCCAGAGGCATCCAACGGGGATTGTAGAATGTATCCCCAAAAGATAAGGAGGGAGTACTGTAGTAGTAAAGGGAGTAGGAAAAAATGTGAGTAAGCTCATAAGTGTTTAAAGAGAATTTTATCACAATTCATTACGTAGCTAATATATGGAGCACTAATCACATTCCTGGAGTAGCTTGGTTGTGGGGAAAATAGGCAAACGAGGTAAAGCATGCTCTCCCATACTGATAGAATAAGTGTCTTAGTCCATTTGTGCCACTATAACAAAATACCCAGGACTGGGTAATTTATAAAGAAAAGATAACCGGGCGTGGTAGCACACTCCTATAAACCCAGCTACTTGAGAGTCTGAGGCAGGAGAATTGTTTGTATCAGAGAGGCGGAGTTTGCAGTGAGCTAAGGTCATGCCACAGCACTCTAGCCTGAAGGCTGGGAAGTCCAAGATCAAGACTCCCCAGGTTTAGTGTCTGGTGAGGGCCCCATCTCTGCTTTCAAGACAACACCTTGTAAGCCAACCTCAAGAGGAGAAAACTCTGTTTTCTCACTTGGTGGAAGGGATGGTAGAGCAAAAGGGGCCTAGCTAGTTCCATCCAGCCCTTTTATAAGGTCACTCATGACCTTTTATAATCTCATTCATGAGGGTTCCATCCTTATGACTTAATCACTTCCTAAGAGCCCTGCCTGTAAATATTACCACATTGGCGATTGTGTTTCAACATATGATTTTCAGGGGATACATTCAGACCACATCAGTAAGAGAGCCAAAGAATTGGAAATAACACCCAACGTTAATAGTAGCACTGCATAACAATGTTCTTGGAGGATACTTCACTCTGCTTGACATGCACCAAGATGGAAGACTAAGTAAGCTACTTTCAAAAGGCTTCTATGGAAGAAAGGATAAGCAGAACTTTGGGGAATGATGGTTAGATTATAATAGGCTGCTAGGGGGAAAATGAAGAACAGAAGCTGCATTGGATATTCAGAGAGTTCCCTCCTGGGCAGGAATTTCCTAACAAAGTAAAGAAAATTAAGTTTTGGGCTTAGCACAGAAGCACAGGTTAATTGATAACAAGGAAGGAAGGTTCACTTTGAGGTTTGAGCTGATTGATGACTTTCAAAAACTTCCCAATACAGTCTTTAGGATCTTGCTCAAGTTGTTCAAAAAAAAGGGGGAGTTTGGGCAAATTAAAATTGAATTGGTCATCAATTCTTTGGCACTCTTCCTATTAAGAGGTAAAGTCTGTGCCCTGCCACAACGAATCTGGGTAGACTCTGTAACTGCACTAACCAATAGAATATGGAGAAAGGGACTGCATGCCAATTCGCCAGTCAAGTCCTAAAGAGACTGGCAGTTCTCATTTTCCTGTCTCTTAAAACACTGGCTCTTGGAAATCAGCTGCCATAAAAGAAGCATGACTACCCTGATAGCACTGTGCTGTGAGAAGTCCAAGCCACATGGAAAGACCATTTAGGATAATATGTCATGTGGAAGGACTGGTCACAGAGAATCAAGGTGCTGCACATGTGAGTGAAGACGACATCTTACAAGTGGGTCTTCCAGCCCCAGGTGTGGATGGAAAACAAACCATCCAGCTGTGCCCTTCCCAACATCCTGACGCAGAAAATCCTGACCTACATAAAATAGTTATTCAAGGCCACTAGGTTTTGAGTTTTTTAATGCAGCAAAGGATATATTGGACAAAATCATAAGTAAACTAAGAAAACCAGGCCACTTTTTTAGAGTTTTAAGTAACAACCTGCTTTTCTGGTATTAACAGAACATCTCCCTCACCTTAGTAAAGGTACATTAACAACAAGAAAGAGGTCGGATCAATGATGGTGGGTACTATATAAACTAAGCAAAATAAATTATGCATAATGAAAAGGAAAAGCTCAGTTACCTTGAAAACACATGCATATGAAACAGCTCAAGTTGCCCTGGAGTTCACAACATTTCTCTGTTAACATCTTGTAAGATGTTAATTTTAAGTGCTTATTAACAAAGATGTCATAAACTCATAAAAATTCTCCCCTGAGGTTTCTCAATGACAGTCTGTCACTCATATTTGTCTCTGCTTTGCTTAATATATCAAAAGAACAAAGCAAGAGAGGGGGGGAAAGAAAAGAGAATAAACATGGCATAGAGAGAAATTACCTGCTTATTTCATCTTATTCGTACTGGAACCCCAGATTAACACTTGGGGACAAGTGAAAAAAATAGCAATATGCTGTGATTCCAATAAATTTTCCTGTGTTTGATACAATTTCCCTTGCATGAAATTACTAAACATACCTAAAACAAGTTGCTGTAGGCAGTCACATTAATATATTATTCATATTATATTTTAAATATATGTTTCATTCATTTTCAAGCTAAGTGATTTACTTAAACTATCCAAGCTCCAAGCTTTGTAAAGAGTATGCAGTGAAAAGTCAACCTCTCTACAACGTCTCTAGCCAGTCAGTACTCTTCCCTGGAAGCAACAAATATTAATTTTTTGCTCTTATGTAAATACCATATGTTTATGTAATTATATGCTCATTTTATAAATTTTATACACGTGTATGTGCAGAGATGTGTAACTGTCCCCTTTTCTACACACACATTATCCAGCGTCCTAAACTTTCTTTTTCCCACTATCTTTTTTGGATTTTTTTCAATATTAATGCACATGAAGGTATCTTCTTCTTTTTAAGAATAATAATAGCATACTGCTCTGCATTTAATTGGAACCCTATCAATGAACTTTAAGATGCCTGTAGTCTTTGCTTTTTACCAACAATGTTGTGATGAATTACCTCTTCCATACATAGTATGCTAGTATGCAATATATCTAGCATTTCAAAAATGTGAGCTGTAAATCAAAGAATATGTGGGTTCATAGTTTAAATAATCACTGTCAATATTATGTACGTGGAGATTCTATAAAGTTACAATCCCAAAGACAACAGTTGATTTTATCCACCGACACGACAACAGTATTATGAAATGTTTGGGCTTTTGCCAATTTGGCGGGTGACAAATTGGCATTTCAGAGTGTTTTCTTTGGTAATTCTCAAACTCTAACTGTTACAATTGTAAATGTCATTTATGTTTAGGAGCCATTCATGACTCTGTGAATGCTTGGCTCATATTCTTATGCTATTTCTGTATTGAGTTGCTGGTTTTTCCCTATTGATTTCTACAAGTTCTTTATTTTAAAGATATTAGCCCTTTGGCTGTAATAGGAATTTGAAAAATTATTTTCCTAAGTTCCGTTGGTCTTTTGAATTTGCTTAGGGTAGCTTTTGTTGTGAGCATGTTTTTTATGTAGTTGAATTTGTCAAACTTTACTTCAATGGCTTCTACATTTAGGGCCATATTTGTAAAGGCTACTTTACATTTACTTTGTTTTAAGGTGTCCACTATTTTTCTCCACAAAAGGCAAAAGTATATCGGTCAGGTGCCATTATTAAGAAATACTAGCATTGGCCAGGCTCAGTGGCTCACGCCTGTAATTGCAGCACTTTGGGAGGACGAGGCGGGTGGATCACTTGATATCAGGAGTCTGAGACCAGACTGGCCAACATGGTGAAACCCCGTCTCTACTAAAAATACAAAAATTAGCCAGGCGTGGTGGCATGCACCTGTAGTCCCAGTTACTCGGGAGGCTGAGGCAGAAGAATCACTTGAACCCAGGAGGCAGAGGTTGCAATGAGCCGAGATTGTGCTACTGTACTCCAGCCTGGGTGACAGAGTGAGACTCTGTCTCGAAACCAAAAGCAAACAAACAAAAAAGAAATACTAGCATTGAGAAAATCTTTACAGAACAAAGATGTCTTCTAAGACCTTATTAATGAATAATTTATTTTTAGCAACATTTGAATCAATACAATTATAGTGCAATAAAAAGGGAAATAACTTCTTTTCTCTAAAGAACAGAATTTTACTTATAATTTATGTTGGTAGCTTTTTCTTTACTCTTAAAATCACATGTGCAATAAATAATTGTTATGAAAATCTTGTAAAGAGAATAAGGACCAATCAAACCAACAAAAAAATCATTGGATTTTCCTCCATACAGGATCATAACTATTATTTATGTGTATGTCTTTCCTGTTTAATTTCGGTGAACATGTATATGTAACTTTTAATCATAATTTGAACCTGATTATTTAACATAATAACCATCTTATGTGTCAATAAATATAGAATCATACCTCTGTGTTAATGATTAGTTATCTAATAGCCTCTTTACTTATATATTTTTCTTATCTCTTAATGGAATATCAGGTTGATTTAATTTTCGTAAATACCAAAAAACACTTAAATGTGTCCTTATGTAAATGCTTATATGTGTACTTGCATGATTATCTTCTGTTTCTTTGAACGTTTTTTAAAAATTGAAATATGTGAATCACTTTCAAGAGATTTTGCTGTTTACTGATAAATTGCCCTCCAAGAAAACTGGTACCACCAGTTAACCAATGTATGCATGTTTCTACCTTCTATATCCATGCCAATATCAGCACTAGTCATTTTCAAACTTTTAACCCTTTGTTAATATTAAAGGGGAAAAATATTACCTTCATATTTTACCTTGCATTTATTATCAATAACTTTAAAAATAAAATTAAACCCTTATCATATACAATTCTACTAAAGCAAACACTCTCATAGTAGGCAGTTGGCCTAATGACGATCCCTAAGGCTAGGGAGAGTGAAATTAGAAAATTTCTTTTTTAAGGTGGCAAATATTTAATGCTATACACTTCTTCCTTCCTAGGGGACAATAATCCTCAGTCTTTATGCACAGAAGAACAGTTGTTTGGGTCTATACTCTTCAAGAACACCATTGGTAAGGTGGCACTGGATACAATTCAGAAGCATGGAAGATACAACCGTGATGGTACGCCTTTCCATAATACTTGAGACTTCAAATTATTTAAACTGCATTGTTCTACCAGCCTGACTTTCTAAAATACAATCTAAATGTATAGATATATTTTATATTCTGAGTTCAGTTGCTTTAAATACTACTGTCAGGGATGTAAAAACCCCTGGATAAGATCACCTCTGACTTTTAAGGTACATAATAGTTTTAAAGGTCTATGAGTCATGTAGGGGATTATGTGGGTAGGAGAAAGGAAAAGGATTTTCAATGGTATTTTGGGGGAAAAAAAAGTGAGTCTCAAGGCTGTGCAAGTGAGGCCTCTGTTAAAAGTATTTGCACACGTGGATTCCTGCAGCTACTTTTCAACTGCCTCAGGCTTAAGTATATTTATGCTACTGTTTTAAGCTTGTCTGCTTATAAAGTTTAATTACCAACTCTCTCTCACACACACACACTCAACTGTTTGAAGTCAGCAGAAAGAAATATTCTCACTAGAATGACATGCAGTCTCAAGATACAGTCTGTTTGAAATAACTTTTTAGATATTTTCGGAATCTTTCCTTTCCCATTAAATGAAATATAAACATTATCTACTTAATGAATTTAAGGGATTGTGCTGAAAACAACAAAAACGGCAACAATCTGCAAGCACTTGATGGCCATGAAAGAAGAGAGTGCACAGATTGGAAATCAAAACAAACTCAAAAACATTAAGACAGCATGTTCTTACACATTTTTCTAAACATAACGTTTCCCATTCCCCCGGTTTATTAAACAAACTATAAACATCACTTCCATTGAGACTTAAAAAAAAGGATGGAAGATAGGAAATTTAACTGTTTCTAAATTATTATGCCAAAAATAATCATTTGGACCACCAGTATGAAATCACTTTTGGAGTCCACTTTAAAGCTAGAGGTTTTGAAATCAAAAGTGGGGAGGGTTGAGGGAATTATTGATTCCTGCAGTGTTCTCTAAATATATCGTTGAATAGTACATGTTTTTGAGTTTTATTCATGAAAATTATTCAAACATTAAACAAATACTTATTGTATGCCTACTACATGCTAGGCACTTTTATTTACTTAAGACATCAACATGAATGAAATAGACAAAGACACCTACGCTAAGGGAGACCCACTTCAGTAGGCGAGTCAGATTGCTGTAATTGCCTGCACTTATTTTTTTCAGGTAACATTATGTTTTTGAGATAGGACCCCATTAAATGACTATGCTACAATTTGTTTATCCATGCTTAAGTTAATGGACACTTAAATTATTTCCAAATATTTTTCTGTTAAATGGAACTGTACTGTAAACATTCTCGTACGCATAATTTGTTGCACATGTCCAAGCTTTGAAGGCAATTATTCTCAAAACATGGTTTCCAGAACTCTGGGGGTTCCCAAGACTCTTTCGGGAGATCCAGGCAAAAAAAATAAATTAATTTATTAAATTAAATTATTAATTTAATAATAACACAAGAATATTATGTGCTGTTTTCACTACACTGATATTGCACAGATGGTGGACAATTCAATGTAGACACAACCGCTGGTGCTGTTAGCACAATGGAAACTGTGGCACCAATCTTTATTAATCACTGTATCCTTTACTGCCAGTTACTTGCAGCAGAAAAAGTGCCAGTTTCAAGTCCTTGATGACATTAAAAGTCACTAATTTTATTAGGTCTCTACCCTTGAGTATATGTCTTTTAATAACAAAAATTATGCATAAAGCCATCCTGCAGCATATTGAAGTACAGTGGTAATCTTAAGAAAAAGCTCTCATGTGACTGAGTTATAAACTAAACTGGCTTTTCATTTCATGGAGTGCCATGTGTTACTTGAAAGAATGTCTGAAAAAGCTATAATTATTCAGACTTAAGCAGACATTTTCTCCAAAATAAATAATGAGACTATAATTGTTTTAAGAAACTGACAGTATTCATTGCCAATGACAAAATTTGTGCTTTTGATTGAAAATTAGAATTTTGGAAAACTTAACTGCTACTCTGAACTTTATAGCTTTCTAATATACAAAAGCTTTTCTGATGAAATCAGTGGCAATAGTAATGAAAATGGTTTTGATATTGCATTGTGAAATGGCTCAACATTCAGAAGATATAAATAACTCAGTGAACCAACATTTTCTAATTGATCATTGTTTGAAGTGACAAAATTATGGGTAAAGATATGCAGGCTAATAGAACAGAGTGTAAAAATTCTTTAATATGGTTTCAGATTCCTACATTGTCACTTAACTTCAAAAAACTACCACTTGTGAGGTTTTAGTGTAGCATCAAAAAGAATGCCATCAATATCTGAAAGGGCTGTTAAAAAACTCCTTCCTTTGTCAAGTATACTTGTGGGGCCAGATTTTCTTCACATACTGGAACCAAACAATATATCACACAGTAAATGCAGAACCAAATATGAGAATCAGCTTTCTATGAAGCCAAACATTTGAAAAGACATTTTCAAAAATTTTAAATAACGTCATGTAAATTTGCTAAATTTTTTAAGAAGTTATTTTTGATAATACACTGTTTGTGTTAACATATAATGGGTTTTATTGTTTCTAAATGTAATAAAGTTTACTAAAATTTCATGTCTAATAGATGAAAACTTACATAAGAAAAAATCTTTAGGGTTCTTGATAATTTTTAAGACTCTAAAGGTGTCCTGAGATAGTACTATTTGAGAACCTTGGTTCAAAGGTACATTCTTAGTATGGAAGCATTAAGTCCAGGATATATACATCTTCAACTTTATTAGATAATGAAAACATGTTTTCAAATTTACTTGTCATAGTAGGAAAAATCATTCCTCTTTCCTGTATCCACTCCATTTTGGGAATTATCAGAATTTTTAACGTTTGTCATTCTCATTGTCGTTCTTTGAAATATCAAAGAAATGATATTTCATTGTAGTCTTAAAGTTCCTTTTCTCATGACTAGATGAGAACTTGGTGTATTCTACATTGATTTTCCTAGGGTAATCTAAAGCTCCAAATAGCATTTCTACATATTTGATTACAAGAAATAAAGAAGTAAATTTCTACCTAATCATTAATATTCAGAATATCCACCTATCCTGTACTCCCCAACAGACTTTGTAATTATTGAATGTTTATTTCCCAACTGTGCCTAAGAACATTCCAGATACCCCTTTACTCTTGCTCCTCTGCTTCTGTGTCTTGCATTCATAACTTGTTAATTCCATGACATATATTTAAGTGAAAAGGCAAATTACAGACTAATATATATATAATTTTTTTTGGTAAAACAACACCACTAATGACATGAGAACTTAAATATACTTTAATACATTTTTATAGGCAATAGAAAAAGTGGAAGAGTGGACACTAAGCTACCAATATTAGCTGCATTAGATGGAGAGGTGGGGATAATGTCAGGAGAAAAGGCAGATAACCAACTTTTCCTTTATACATCTTTGTATTGCCTTGTTTCACTTGACAAAACAAAGAGGTACTACTTCTGCAGTTTGAAGAATTTCCATTAAAGAAATATGAAATAAAACTGAATATTTCTCCTTTGCATTTAGTTCCCAATCACAGGTTATTCTCAGCTGTGTTTCTGTTAGATCTTCATTCGTGTTTTGTAAACTTCCCTGGTCTTTCTTCAGGTGACCTCTTGGGCTATGCAGCATAAATTTCAAGTGATATTTCAACTGAATTATAGAGTTCAACAGAGTTAAAATTCTCATACAAAAATCACAAATGAGGAATACACTCATGAAGTACAAAGAGCACCGATCTTGAGGCCTGGCCTCTTTCTCTCTTTGCTGCCTCTGATTAGATTATGGTTCACAGAAGTGAACTTAGCAAGGAGAGAAGTGTTGGAGTTTGAGCAGTAAGGTATGATGACACTCAAATACCTTCCAACCAAATCCTAAAGGAATCATATCACCAAGAATCAGTTCAATGTATACTGGGGGAGACAATTATGGTTTTGCAATTATGGCTATTTTAACAAAATCTTTATATTGATATTCCGAGGGGAACTCTCATCTCATCCCAAAGAATCCATGCTGGCTGCAATGAAAATAACGACACACATTTTTCAGATTGAGTATAGACTAAAGATGAAGGGTGAATGCCATGTGTTCATCACACATGTAAGCAAAATCCTCAAAATATGACAAAGAAAGTTTGGTTGGGCTATAAAGCCTCTAAACATGAATGACTAAATACACACCCTACAAAGCCCACTGACCACTTGGGTAGATTATTGGCTCATGGAGCCAGAGTCTGTTCCAGCACACTGCCAAAAAGAATCTAATTCTGCTCCAAACCTACCAATTATTCTAACTCGTCAATCAATGTGTTCTGTCGACCACATTCACATTACAAGACTCAAAGGCCATTTTCCAAAACATTAAGCTGTTCTTTGCTATCCTTTCAATGGTGGTGAGCACCCCTCCCTTATATTTTAGTTCAACTTCTGCCAAGCTTCAATTAACCTATACTAAAGAATAATGGTTATTGTGCTTTAATGTATAAACTCTCTTGTCTGCATTGATGTATTGTGTTGCTCTGAAGAGGTCCAATGTGGCTTCTCAGAAACAAACCCAAACAAAAAGGGAAAATCATTACGTGAATGCCAACATCTGAAATACAGAATCATTAGAAGAAAAAAAAGATGTATATATTAAGGAGCAGTGAACACTTACTGCCTTATCAGAATGATCACAGTAATAATTCTAACAATGAGATTAATATTTGTAATAGTGACACACTACTATCTACAGTCAAAATAAGCAACTCATTCCATTGCATACTCAAGGCCATGGTACCAATTTTTCTGACCTTTGATTATACCAAATATTACATAGCTGAACATAAAAATTTTGGTTATATGGAGATGTAATACAATATTTAATACACATAACATGTATTAACAATGCATAAATATAATTTCATGATATTTCTGAAAAAGTAAAATGTTCAAAGAAAATTCCTGTCTTCTATATTACCCCTCCATTTTCTTTTGACAATTAACCCTGTTCCAACTATAGTTCACATACGGACTGTGCAACCATGTATTGAAACAAGGAAGAAAACAGCCCATATATCTAAAGATGAAAATAGACTCTGAAGTTCCATGTATCACCAACGTTTTTACATTGACTCTTCAAACATATTCAAGGAAAAAACCTTTAGAATCTTAATCAGTTTTAAATACTTTCTACATAAATATATACTAGTCATTATCATGTAAACAGTCTAATCAGACATGCATTCCCACACAAAGAAAATCGATTGTTTCCACAGACTTCCTCAGTCCAATCCTACTGTTTAAATAATCATGATACCATGGCTTCCACTCACAGTTCTTGCCTATGCTGTCCCAAAAGCTAGAGTTCATTTTCCTTTTACCCCAGGGAATATACAGACTGGAAACACATCAACGGTAAAGCAAAGCATTTTTGAACTCAGAGAATTCTTTTCTCTCTTTTAAGAATTTCAGCATGTTAAAAATGACTTGAGATTTCTCCAAAGAAAACACACGCCATGACCTGAGAGGTCAGGATAGACTATCCACAGACAAAAAAGGCCACCATAATAAAGTGTGCAAATCTTCTTTCTTTCAGTTGGTGATGCTCTTTACAAAGAGATGACTCTGCTTTACCTTAATTTTTTTTCTGTCAGGTCTGTATTGGAATCATAAAATCTCTGTTCCTCACTTTGGGCACTTTCCATTTTATTAGGCACTTTCATGCATGAGTTTTTATTCAGTGTTTGAGGTTAAAAAAAAGTCTAATATGTGTTTCATATCCTCTAAATTTTTGTGAGCACACAGAACATTTAAAATAAAAGTTTATAGCAAAGTCCCAGAGATATAAAGTTGGCATATTGTGTTTCTGAGCACACAGCTACGTTTACTCTTCTTCCCATGCCCAACACAGTCAAAGATGAAAATCACTTTAGTGAATAAAAGAAATCCCTCTTTTTAAATTACAATGAAAATTAGATCAGAAAATTTACTAACAGAAATGTGTTATTCAAATGTATTTGAAGCAGAGTATAGCAGGATTTTTATTTCTAGAAATGCCCCATATGACAAAACCAAACCACACAGTAGGATACTTTTTTCTTTCCAGGTTCCCTTGGAAAGGCTCAAGTATTTTCTAGCAGGCACTTTTTTTTCCACATTTCTGCTATTTTGTGTTATTTTCTCTGCCGATGCAAGCAAAAGGGGTCATGGAAAATTCTAGAAGAAAATCATTAAATGAAGACACAGCAGGTCAGGAATAAATGTAGGCTTTATAAAATGTAAACAGCACTGGCTACAGTCAAATATAATTAGATTACAAGCGTTCTTTTCAGCTCACACATGGAGAAAAGTGTATTTTTAGGTAAATGCCTATGAGTTAGCAAACACAAAAGTTAATATATAGATCAAACTTTGCCACATTTGAAACATTAAATGTAATGGAGTTGCACTGTATAATCCTTTTGGCATTTACTACAGCAAACCCATTAACCTACAGGCTAGACACATGTTTAGATTACTAATATATTTTTTCTATATACAAGCGCACAAACCCACTTAAGTATTAGTACTTATCTAGGGTATTAAACACTATTATGACAAGAAAGTCATCTCACGATTTTATAAACGTGTGCTTCTTAAAGGAATTTTGTATCTATCAGTAATACTATGTTTTGGCAAAAATGATGTTCACCTCATCCCCCATGTAACATTTCTATGCTTTTGAAAGATAAAATGTAAAGGATCTGAAGCATCAGGGTACTAAGATAATCATTCAAAAAGGCAAAAGATTCAGTGTAGTAAACCTCTTTACGAGACTGTAGTAGTTGGAGATGAAATTGTAAATGGGGAAGTGTAGATTGCTTTGATTTAGAAAATTGTTGCCATTAAACAGTTTACAAAGAGCCTACTGTTTCTGCATCATTATCCTGGATGTGTCAAAGTCAGCATTTTCACAATATTTAAAGCACTCCCAACTTCCTCATAAATATCATTTATACTCCTGCACAGCCATTCAGCATATCTAAGGATATCATTTACAGTCTTCTGTAGTTACACAGTAGGATCACCTGAGCCAATGCAGGTGAACATGAAATAAAGATATAGAGGAGGGCTAAATTCTCTCCCAGCAGAATCATGGAGATCATGGAATTGTACTGCCAAATTTGATCCAGGACTAAGGACATTATATTCCTTTGTGTGTGGAAAGTAGCCCAGAAGGTCAGCCGGGTCTGATGTGTACAGTCGCATCTTACTACCCGGCAAATCAATTTCAGATGAGCAGGTGGGCCCACATTCCAGCATTGCCATTTATTTTTCTTTATATACTTTCTGTTACAAGAGGCCTCTCTTGCTTACAAGAAAACAGAAACCAACCCAGAATTGTCTTTTCCTATCTTTCTGTACATTCAAATCCCAACAGAACCATTTCAAGCCACTACCTCCCACAAGCAACAGCTGCTCCAGGTGACACTAGTCACAGCAGTCTCTGAAATTCTCTAGCATTGATCAGTACAGGACACATCAATTTTGATAGGTAGTCTTATGTAACCTTCAGATGACTCTTTAAAGACATTCTCGTATAGGTTAATAACTTTAAGCTGCAAGAATGATAAAAGCAGTCCTTAAATAGAATTTTAAAACAAATTCATTTATGTTCAAAACAGCAAGGCTGCAGAATTGCATAAAGTATCCTTTTGTTTCTGAGGCTCTGAAAACCAAATGATGGCTAACATAGAAGAGAGGATACCACAAGCCCTGTGGCTGGAAGAAACAGAAGCCTGTAAGCAGCCACATAGTGAAAGGGAATCACTTAGCAAAGAAGATTTTTAGTTTCTTCATTAAAGCTAGATTTCTTCAAGTAGCAAATGTAAAAGCTGAATGGGTTACAAAGAAAATGCCAAATGGGGAAACATTTCCCAGATAAATGGATGACTTATTTTACCTATTAAGCCCTCTTACAAAACATCAAGAAAAAAACTAAAACCTCAATAAAAAAGATAAGCTATAAACAATAAACCAAATTAAAAGAGGACTGTGTATCATACAATGAAAGTATTCAATATTGAGTGATCGATGAAATCAGATGTTTTTACAAGATATTTATTATTTGCCCATCAGGTTAGCAAAGATTAAAATAGAATGATGACCTCTAACGTTTTTCTCAAGCAACAAGAACAAGACCTAAAAATACACAGGTGGTACAATTTAAAGTATGATTCTTTTCATTCTATTATACAAATCTGAGACAGGAAAGAAAAAGAGGAGAGCTCGACAGATCAGAGGAGAAACAGTTTTTGAATCCTCACCAAAAACAATTTGTATCTTAATACCCTACAACATTGATTCTCCAAGTAAAGTCCCCAGACCAGCAGTGTCAGTATCACCTAGGAACTTGTCAGAACCACAGATCCTTAGGGCTCATCCCAGAACTACTGAATCAGAAACTCTAGGAGTAGGACCAGAATTTGTCCTCTAATAAGACCTCCCCGTGATTCTGATGTACACTAAACTTAAGAAACCACTGCTTAGAAGACTACAGCTTGTATAAAATGTAGCAGAGGTATTTGTTTAAAATGCTCTGCACTCTAGCAGTTAAGAGACGCAATGTCATAATGGCTGCAGCACACTTTGAAATAGCACAATATCTCCCTCTATGTTAGATATATGTAGAGATGGGAATGTTCGCCAAATTGTTAACTAGCATAGAATCTAAATGGAGGTGATCGAGCACAGTGTCTCCCCTGAGCTAGTAAGGTAGTAGGTCTGTACCCAGGAATCTGTGAGCAGGATAGGTTTGTGCCCAAGACTCTGGGTTTTTATCAAGTATCCCACGTTTCCTTTAGGCTGGTGTGGTTCACACCACTTTACCAAATGTTATTTAAGAAACACCACTCTAGAGGTCTTGAGTATTTCTTAGTAAATGATGATGTGGCCTAGCAGACATCTGTCCCAAAATGTACAAGCAACTTCTAAGATCTGACAGACCAAATCTGTGGGTGGTTCTATCTGTACTCCCATTATCTGCCGATGGTGGATTCCCAACAAGTTACCTGATGAATCCCTGTTTTCCCACACATATTACAGAAGACCATGCCCAACATCTTTTAAATCAGAAGGTAACATGACAAGCAATTCTATAACATTATGTGATCACTCAGTAGAGGATCAAATCCCATATGACGAATAGGAATGAGCACTGGAGGCAGGAAAGCATTCTTCTCTCTTTTGGTCTGTCCCCAAGACAAATTCTGATCTACCTGGGATTCTGGGGTCACGGAAAAGGTCCAAAATCCTCGACCTGGATCACTGAGTTTTATATTATTTACAAGATCCCGCATGTGAGGTACACTGGGCCCTACGAATTCTACAAAGGGCTTTGCTCAGATAGCAAATAACCAGGGGGAGAAATTACTTAAATGCATCCACGGTAAATATTTTTCAGATGTTATAAGATTGTTACCAAGGAAACTTAAACAACGGGGAAAAAAAAGAGAAGACCTATATTCTACAGTACTGGTGTTGATACTGTGAAGCATGCCATTTAGACTACTGTGAAATTGAGTATTTGACATTTTGCCCTATTCTTCCCAAATATAAAAATGTTGCAAAAAGAACCGCATGGTTATTGCATAAACCACCTATACAACATCTTTTTCCTTAGTGTGTCTTATGAAACAGAATTAACTATGATCATCTCATTTTTTAAAAAATTAGCTGGTTGCTGCATGTTTCACTATTAATTCCATTGGCATAAAATATGTGCCACATCTCTGGTCACTTGTTATTAAGATGTTTTGCTAGTAGTTATTTCTCCTATCAAAGATGTATCTTTTCTGCCTAATTTACATGATTATTAAGCATCTCCACTTTCTTCTAAGTACTTGCATAAAGGTTATATCAAGACGACAGACTAAAAAGTATTTTAAAATGGCGAAAGAGAACAGGGAGAAGATTCTATCACTGCGAGTATATCCAATGATCAGTTCAATCAATTTTAAATTTGTCACTACTGGAAAAACAAAAAACAAAAAAAAACAGAAAAAAAAAAAACAAGCTCCTTCTTACGCTCATTCTGGTTTCGGCTTTTCTGATCACTACCGTAAATGTGAAAGGATATCCAAGTGATAGGTCAGCCAAGAATTAAAATCCATGTTACATGGAACTTGAGAAGAATTTCTGTTTAAGTAGGTCATGCCTTTTTTTCCCCATAGATATCAAAAATGAGTGACAAGTGTCCTAAATTGCATATAATTAGTTTCGAGGATTTATAAAAATTTCTAGATTATAATGGAAAAAATTCTAAATTATTCCAGTATGAATAGAAGAGTTCAGAGATTTTGCTCTGAGTATTATATCTCACCAAAATTGAATGATATCTTTGTGATTTAGCTGTGTCAACATCAGCTATTGGAGCAGGTAAATATCATAGATAACTACTATCACAATAGTCACAGGGCAGGGTATGTTCCTAGTTCTTAAAATTAACCACTTTTAAAGTAGGGAAGATTACATTCAGTTTAGATTCCTTAAAATTAACTGCTTTTAAAGTATGAAAGATTAAATTCAGATTAGATTTCTGAAAATATATTTTACTCTCAGGTAAGTGAATGTCAGAAGAATAGATTTTTGACCAAAATATGTTTCACCCATATAACATTAGATTTGAAAGTTTGGGCCCCTGAGCTTCAAGGCTGGAAATAAACCAACAAATCCTTATATCCTTGTTTCTGTGGCTATTATGAAAATCTCAACTTTAAGGTCCTCAAGTAAGAGTGCCTGTTGTTCACCATGCTTTGCACACAGTGGGTACATGTTCAGTTTCTTCTCCCAGTCATATATCCCAAATGACCAAATAAATTGCAAAGAGGTGAACAATGAATTCTGGACCTGGGTACCAGAGACAAAGGAGAGATGATTTTTCTGTAAGTTGCAAATGGAAGATTCCAAACCTTCCCTTTAACCAGAGATACTTTCTCCAATGTTTTCATCCATACTCTATAACTTCCCTGTGAACCCTCAAGCACACCAAACTAGTGACCATATTCCAAGTAAGGCAGTTAGTTCCCAAATAGAAACCTATAGAGTAATAACTCTGGTCCACATAGAGCCATGTGCTATGTTGCTGGATCTGGCCCTCAACAGCTTACAGTGTTCCTCCCTGAGTCCGTACTGGATGTCCAGCATCAAGGCATTCCCAGGAATATGTCTGTTTACAGTCGTGTATTCCTGCTATCAGAGACAGAAGTTTTCTAGACTATTGTGACCAAGTGATTTTGTGTATTTTCATGGGAATGGAGGCAGGCAAGGGTTCATGAGAAAATCCTCTTCCCATCATCTGGTCCTGTAACAGTGAAGCAGGAAAAGAACATAACTAACTCCATTTTTGTTTAAGAGGCCTTTACCCATTCCTGAACATAGACTAGGATAATTTTAGAGCAGTGAGATAATATGCAAAAATAGCAATCATGTAGTTTTTAAAACTAGCTCTGAATTAAAGGAGACGTGTGTAAACCAACAATGTTTTGTGAAAGATTTGTAGAGGCACTGTGACCTGACCAAGGACAAAAGTTCCCAGGCTCCTGGGACCCTCACTGGCACCCAGTTACTTTTTGATCTCAACCCCTTCCTCTTCCTACTGCCCTTAACATAAAAAGAGCCTAAAATTATACTGACTCAAGATGGTGCTTTAGAACAATAGTCCACCATCTTCTCAGTGTGCTGGCTCCCCAGATAAACCTGCTTTTCCTCCAAACAACTCTGTCTCTGGAGTTCTTGCTTTTGAGAGCTGAGCATTGGAACCTGGATTCAGTTACAGTCCCCGTCTTCCAATCTAGACATGTTCTACTCCGACACACTATCCATGCAGCAGCAGCACACAAGGAATTCAGGTCTCCTAAATGCTCAACACACATCCGTGTTTCCACGCCTCTGTATATTCTATTTTTAATTCCTGAAATTCCCTTGCACCTTTTGATGCCCTGGAGAACTAGCCTTCCTTCCAATCCTAAATCATACATCTTTTTCTCTGTAGACTTCACTTTGAGCATAAATAGACAGATGGAAAGGAAATAAATGAGTCCCACTACATTTTACATTTTACTGGATATGCCACCATGTTCACGACCTCAAAGTATTAAAATTAATCCCATCATATAGGACTTATTTGCTTATTTCTCTATCTTTTCCATCATTTTATTAACAAGTAGGATTGGTTGCTATGGGGAAAATAAATGTTTTCTTTTTATTCCTGGATCTTATATACCATTAACCACTCAATTAGCTCTCAATAGGGAAGGAAGGAGGAATGGATAGATTCCTTTATGTATTTGCACTGTACTTTGTATTCAAAGGTAGAGTTAGGTCCCAATGCCAATATACTTTGGACTACATCAAACTATTACATGGGTCTGTTCTCTAAGTTCTCTTTCTTTTCTTTTCCAACTAAGTTATCAGAAAGCCATTTTAGGCATAAAAGTATGTTATAGAAGGTAGATTCAGGTATCTCCTATGAAGTGATATTCACTACAATGCCCTAAATGAGTGAAAACAGCAGCCCCAAGGTACATACAGGCTTACATCAAGGGAACCTAGAGTGGAATTAAATATCTAGTAGCTTTCAAGGGCCTGATCCTGTGAAGGTGAGGAATAGAATTCAGGGCAGAAGTCGGTCAGGGTGCATTTAACAAGGCAAATCAGGGCTTGTGCATGGAAAACATAGACTGAGGCAGAAGGCAGAAGGCGAGGAAGAAGGAAACTGGCAGGGGTGAAAGCTGTGAGCAAACTGGAATGTGTCTAAAAGTGAGCCAGGAAGAAAAGCACAGTGAAGTCAGAGATGGGAGCAGAATCTCTTCCCCTCTACAAACCCTCCTCTGTGCTACTGGCCAGATGCCAGTCCTGCAATGGGCATTCAGTACTCTGGTCTCTAACAGAAAATCTCCATGGTCACTGAAAAATCTCAGTATAAGTATACACCTACTTCTCCTTGGCTCAGATGAGCTGGTTCTCAAATCTATCTCAGTGAATCAAATGAATCAAGCATTATGGCAAACATACTCTCTGGCTTCTCTTGTTTTACACACACACACACCCCAGAAAAACCAAAACTGGCTTAAATGAACATTGCTGAAAATATCACTGAGTTTTAAGCACATAGTCACATTTCTCGATTGTTATTAGTTGTTCAACATAAAAGAAAAAAAACCCTGAAGAATAGCAAATTTGACGATTTCAACAAACTTCCCTGTAGAGAGACTGGCATTTGACAGCTTATGCTGTAAGAATTTCTGGTGCAATTTCTACATCCTAAATGGTCACTTACTTCTCCAGAAATTAGGTTGAAAAAAACCACAGACATTAAAGACAACCAAGGAATGAAAGTTGCAAGAAACCACAGACGTTATAGACAACCAAGGAATGAAAGTTGCAAGGCTTCATTTTGAGTTCCTTTTTCAAACCTTGAAGTAGTACTCTGATTATGAATACTGTACAATAATTTTAATATAATCATTTGCATTCTGCAAACATTTTAAAGCAATGAGAAAGCAAAAGGCAAATTAAATTTTTACTGTATGCCAATCAATTTGGATAATGCAGAAGTGAAATAATGTCTCAAACACAAACCTTTAATAATTTATAACTTTGATGGTAATAACTAAAAATATGATTACCACTTTAGAAATGTTGAAATTAAACCAACAATTGACTTCCTTGGCTATCTGTTTTTTTTTTTCTTGAAAAAAGAAAGAAATAGAGTCAGTCTATAGTTGCATAGAAAGAGGCTTTTATGGTTTTTCTAACATAGATAATGAGAAGTTGAGTTTGCTTGAGAGAAAACATTCCAGCTACTTACTGAAAAGAGCAAAATTCAATGTGTGCTTCATACCACAGTAGAATGCTAAGAAGAACTGCCCACAAATCGGGGCATATTCCCTTAACTCGATAGGAAAAGCTGACTGCTTTCTTGATGACTGCAAGCTGAAGTCAACATATGCACCACCTGGACAGATCCACTGAATAGCATCAATGCGTAAGTAAAATGTTACTAGGGATCCAACATTACTTTTTTATGTCAGAATGGAAAAAGAATAAACCCACTTTGTTTAAAAGCAAGATCTAAGTAAGACACTGCCAAGTAAGTTTCCTCTGTCTCTAAGAATCCTCAAAGAAAATAACCAATTTTTAATTGAAAAGATATTTGCAACAATCTTGGAAACTCTTATCAAAAAATAAGGTCTTGCATACTAGTAGGGAGTGATATTGGGAAGGAGGTGAGGGGGAGGGACACAAATATATCGAAGACGTCCATGTCTTCTCAAGCATATATTTGAAAAAGACAAAATTAAGATATTTCAGTAGTTGAAGTCTGTGATGTATTATATCAGAATTTATAACCACTGCAAGATTTCTAAATCATTAGTCTCCTATGATGGGGTCAGCATTTTGAATATTACTCAGGGAAAAGAAGCTATATGTATAAATAAATAAATATGAAAAATACAAATGATAGTCCTGACAAAATTATTTCAGGGTTATAAGATAGCAACTGCTCGCTGGCATCTGTTCATCCAGCATCCAGCTGTTAGTGGAAAAGACTGAAAGCAGGTGACAAGTGCCACATTATGGTTAATTTCATATAAGAAGGTGCTGAGCAGAAAAGAAAATCCAAAACAGTAAACTAAAAATAAAGAAAAAAAAAAAACACTATTTCCTTTGGTCTATCTGGGCTTTGTGTTTGAAAAATCATCTCCTCCAGGGAGGATTCTTTAAGTATTATTCCACATTTGAAAGGAAAAAAATGTATATGTCTGCATACTATCCTTAGGCAGGCTACTTTCAAGCAGACTTGGAGGGAGGGAGCAGCTCAGCTCTGACCCTGTCACCCATGATGGCCTGGGAGCTCAGCTGTGTCTCCTGTGATGCCTGGCTGGTTCAGTATTCAGACCAAAAGAGTAGCAGCATTGAATCCAGTCACACGCTGAAGACTTCTGCACAAAGCACAAACGCACTTTTAAAAAATCACACCTCTCCTTGAGCAATGATAAAATTCTCCATGGGCATAATTAACAATGATTTCCACCCAATGTTTCGGTTGTAGGGAGTGCCAGAATGGTTAAGGAAGCATCTCATCATGTAATCTGTCACAAAAATCATAAAACTTTTGAGCCAGAGGCCAATTGTCTTAGTGGTAGAGAGGTTAAATGATGTCCCCAAAGCAACACAGCTAATAAAGAAACTGGTTTTAGCTTTCAATCTAGAGATTACAATGCACCAACCAAAGAAGCAGCTTCAAAATTGCATTTTCTTTATATTACCTCTTCTGTCACTGACTCTCCGTATATACATAGATATTTACTAACTCTTATTAAACTGATTACACATCCTGTGCATTTTAATATGTGAATAGAGTCTTTTAGAATTGAAATCTCTCGGCCGGGCGCGGTGGTTCACGCCTGCAATCCCAACACTTTGGGAGGCTAATGCAGGCGGATCACGAGGTCAGGAGATCGACACCATCCTGGCTAACACGGTGAAACCCCGTCTCTACTAAAAATACAAAAAATTATCCGGGCGTGGTGGTGGGCACCTGTAGTCCCAGCTACTCGGGAGGCTGAGGCAGGAGAATGGCATGAACCCGGGAGGCGGAGCTTGCAGTGAGTCGAGATCGTGCCACTGCACTCCAGCCTGGGCGACAGAGCGACACTCCGTCTCAAAAAAAAAAAAAAAAAAAAAAAAATTGCAATCTCTCATTTCATTCTATCCTTTCAAAGGTTGTCTGCTTAACATTCTATGTATTTCATTAGCGATTATTCACATCTCATGTTACAAGTAAATATATCTTTAAACAGAGTATTTATTAGATCCTATCATGCAGTGCCTTGAAACAATCATTTATCAAATGAACACATTTTCCTGAGATATAAGCTTAAAAATTTTAACACTAAAATTTTCTAAAGTTTTCAAATTGTTAAACTTAACAAAAACATAGTTAAGATTTTAAAACCTAACTATAAGCTAGACAGAGTGCTAAGTGCTTAACATGAGTCATATAATTTAATCCTTCTAAAAAATGTGTGCTTTTAGGCATTATCTAAGAGGTTAAAGGACTAATACAATGTCATAAGCTAGTAGATAGAACAGAAATTTAAAGCCAGGCAGTCAACAAGCATCTAGCACATGACCCAGCCATTCTATTTCTGGTTATTTAGCCAAGAGATTGAAAGTATTACCACACAAAGGTTTGCACATGAAGAATCATAGTTTTATTTGTAATAGTCAGAAAGGTGGAAACAATCCCAGCGCCCATCAATGGGAAATGGATAAACATTGTTGCATACATATACAATATATACTATTCAGCAAGAAAAAGCAACAAACTACTGATACACACACAGCATAGAAGAACCTCAAACAAAGTGAAAAAATTTTGACAAAAAGAAGAGCACATATATTATTATTCTATTTACATGAATTTCTAGAAAATGCAAACTAATCTATAGCAATACAAAGCAGATCAACGATTGTCAGGAAGAAGTAAAGACTAGGGATGGAACTCAGGGGTTTGAGGAAAGTTCTGGGGTGAGGCGTATGTTCATTATCTTAATTATGGTGATAGTTTCACACCTGACAATATCAGTCAAAATTCATCAAACCAGGCAGTTTTAAAAATGTACAGTTTAGGCCAGGTGTGGTGGCTCATGCCTGTAATCCCAGCACTTTGGGAGGCCGAGGTGGGTGCATCATCTGAGGTCAGGAGTTCGAGACCATCCTTGCCAACATGGTGAAACCCCGTCTCTACTAAAAATACAAAAAATTAGCCGGGCATGGTGGCATGTACTTGTAATCCCAGCTACTCGGGAGGATGAGGCAGGAGAATTGCTTGAATCTGGGAGACGGAGGTTGCAGTGAGCCGAGATGGTGCCATTGCACCCCAGCCTGGGCAACAAGAGCAAAACTCCATCTCAAAAAAAAAAATAAATAAAAGTTTATTGTATGTTAATTATACCAAAAAAAAAATCTAAGTAGTCTAACTCCAAAATTTATGCCCTTAACCACCAGAGTCTATGGCCTCAGATAAAAGTCCTACTTAGAAAAGAAACTATATTGACTTTAATTCCATCTCACTTATTTTACTCTCCAAGATATAAAGGGCCAATTGATGTTGTTCTAATTGGTGATTTTGTTACCTTCTTGCTAGTAAAATCTTTAGGGACAATTTTAGTTTTGATCATTTTGTCCCTACTCAATGTTTTCACTGACGCTACTTCTGCCTTTTCGCAGCTGTCTCTGATCACTGCAGTTAGTTTTTCCTTGTCTAGGTGGGTCTGTTTCTCATCTATTCTTTTAATCTGCTTTCTTCACTGTGTTTCAATCCCTTGGGTTGTGAAGTTATATTAAAATGAGCATACACTGCATATAAAGTTAAAAAACTATCAAAAAGGTTCTGTGTGGAAGGAGGTTTTCTGCCACATTTCCTACAGAGTAAAATGCTCTGTTGGAGTCATTTTTATTGATGTTGATAGTTTATTCACTTAGAGTACTTACAGCTGAATCTGAAGCTCTCCCAAAGTTTCTAAAATTTGAACACTGAGTAATATAGGTAATTTACTATACAAGCTACAATATTAACATCTTAAAATACTGTAGTAAAGTACCCTGTATTCTAAACTTGTAGTAACAGATTTACCCTCAAATCATGATTAAAACAAACACTGGCCTGGTGCAGTGGCTCACGCCTGTAATCCCAGCACTTTGGGAGGCAGAGGCTAGTGGATCACCTGAGGTCAGGAGTTCGAGACCAGCCTGGCCAACATGGAGAATCCCCGCCTCTACTAAAAATACAAAAATTAGCCGGGCGTGGGGGAAAGTGCCTATAATCCTAGCTACTTGGGAGGCTGAGGCAGGAGAATCACTTGAACCCAGGAGGCGGAGGTTGCAGTGAGCCAAGATTGCGCCACTGCACTCCAGCCTGGGGCGAAACTCCCTCTCAAAAACAAACATAATTCTCCTACTTCCGAGAAACCTAAGGATTGTACAATTTGAAGGGGTCACTTTAAGGAAAAGACTAAAAAATAACAAATGCAAAATTAAATCAGGATTTGGAAGGGGCCTATCTAATTAAGGGATTTAAAGGGCTAAAGCTTATATATAATTTCTTTTCCTTTATTTTTCAGAGACAGGGTCTCACTCTGTCAACCAGGGTGGCATGCAGTGGCACGATCAGAGCTCACTGCAGCCTCCAACTCTTGGACTCAAGCAATCCTCCTGCCTCAACCTGCTGAGTAGCTGAGACACAGCCAGCTAATTTTTTAAAAAATTTTTTGTAGAGATGGGGTCTTGCTATGTTGCTCAGGCTGGCCTCAGGCAGTCCTCTCACCTCATACTTCCAAAGGGCTGGGACTGCAGGCATGAACCACCACACCTGGCCTAAAGCTTAAATATCTTTAGCTATGTGCAAAACCCACCTGTGATTTTGGAGCAGCTTATTCATAAGGGCAGAGATCTGAGACATGTTCTTCCCCAAAATTATGTAAGTACTTGATTAGAACTGTATGTTCACCCCACTCAGAAGAGCAATCAAGATTTAGAGTTCCTAGAGGCAGCTATGTTTGCACAGTTAAAGCTGGAGTGGAGATCAAGACTTTATCTTCTTTGTCCCCAGCACTCAGTTTACCATACCTCAAAGTAGGCCTCCATCTTCTCTTTCCAAGCCCATTGAAGTTCATGTAAGAGTGGGGACCGGCACGCATTTAGCACTAATCAGCTGTGGCTCAATTACCAAATTTCTTGGCCCAGAAAGGAAGTGCCTAGAACTTTGCTCTGTCATAAGTGTAACTGGTCTGCCCCTATAAAATTGATAGTTGGTTGCATACAATTAAATTGCTCAATTACCTATGTTTTATGTTTTAAAAACCACATGAAACTATCATGGTCTGACCATCAGAACTCAACATATTTAACTGTAGCAACTAAAGCAAAAGAGCTGCATAAATCCAACAAGAGTTCACATGAAATCTTTTCATTTTCAACAATATTCACAAGACATTACTGCAGAATAAGGAAAAGATATTTGCTTCTTGTTGTTGTTGCTGCCTCTGCTATTATTGTCACTATCCTCAGTGGAGCCTGGAATATTTCTATTTGAGAATATTAGACCAAGAACTTTGAAAGTGAGCTTTTAATAAACCCATTCTGCTACATCACAGTACAATAGTAAAAGCCTCCAAAATATTTGCAGACTGAACACATTGAAAGCTCAACCTATATCAAACATGAATTTTAAAAACCTGCTAGGTATGTATACTCCTAGCATCATGTTAACCCTGATTTTAGCATGTTTATGCCTGAATCAGAAAGTTTATGGTCATATCCCTCAAGAAAATGCCCTTGCTGAGTCATTCTGACATGTGAAGATGTCAATGTAAGGCATCTTTATATTAGAAGATTCTGACATGTGAAGATTCAATGTAAGGCATCCTTATATTAGAAGATGAGTTTACTACCTTCCAGCAAGAGAAAACAACTGCAAATCAAAATCATAATGATGCCTACCAAATATTGAACATGTGCTATCTGCCTGGAACTATACTTTATATGTATTGTTGCCACCTCTACCAAGATCTGGGCAAAGAAAATGTGTTTTCCCATCTTCAGATGCAGCATAGAGAGAAGCAGAAGCACTTGGCAGATGTCCTATAGTCAGTAGTGATAGAGGCAGGATGCAAGGCTGACTCCGAAGGCCATTCTTATTTTACGCTGTCAGGAGGTTTGATGTGATTCTGTTCAATTCTCCTTCAAATCTTCTTCATGAGAACTGATTCATGATGAAAAAGAAACATTAAAAAGATTTCTGTGTGAGTCAGAGCACCCCCTCCAAGGATGGTCCATATTCAAAGACTAGCAAGACTGACTGCTGACGCAGGCTGAAGTTGTTTTCTCACTGGCTAACCACTAAGCCAGTGGACAAGCAGGGCAAGTGATACAGGCGAGGAGGCTAAGATGACTAGACACAACTCTGGCCTCCTCCTTTGGTTTTCAGAGGGTGCTCTTGAAGCTCCGTGGTTACTGCTGTGTGCTGGGTTTGAGCAATCCACCATATTCAGGGAGCAAAGAAACCTGTATCACATATTAATTTCACTAAGCCCAGGAGAGAAATGACATCAGTGCTCAGGGGTCTATAACTATGAGAGAAGGCGGCTACCATACTCATGAACTCATGTGTTTTAATTTTTATCGAACCACTGGACTTCAAGCAAGCCCAATGGCCCCCCAATATAACTCTCCTGTTCTTTTAAACTGTTTCGAATAATCTATACAGGGTCGTGAATTAATCTCTCATCTCTCACTCATCTTCCTCTTTTTCCTGTCTCTTAATCTCTCTGCCTTTATTTCTGCTTCTCCAAAATTCCCCTTTGGATAACAGTTTTCCAAAAAAAACAAATCAAGACTTAATATGATCTTAGCTTAGCAAACAACAAACCAACCAACCCATCCAAAGCAACCCTGAGCAGCCCCAGGAAGCACTTAAAAGAAAGGAAATGAGGCTGCATCACATTTGTGGTCTCCCTGGGGCCAAATACTTTACAGTGAGATGGTGCACTTCACTTATACAATCATTTTTAAACCCACTTATCACTTTATCCACATTTTGTATAATACAGTGAAAGAATACACTCGAAAGCCAAAGCATCCGCGCATTAAGGAGGCCTGTCATGGTTCATCTCGAGTTAAATTTTATAGGTTTTTTCATTGCAGCCCCCAGCTATGCCACTCTATGGTAATCAAAGTCAGGCTCGTTCATATCATCTTATGTATATTTCAGATTTCCAAACTCAAGGTTAGAAGCCTAAATGTATTTTGTTTTTCAAACATTCTGAAAAATGATAGAGGCCCTGCAAAAACGTATCTAGATTGGATCTAAATGGAATTATACCACGATGGCTGAACTGAAGATCAGCTGGAATAATGCAATAGCTATTTGCCCCATAACTGTAGCGCATCAGCTAGCAGTTTTGAACTATTTTTCTAGTCACCACTTCTGGTTTTATTAGCCAGTGATTAAAAGAGACCTTAGACTTCATTGAACCCTTTCCCCTTTATTTTACAGATGAAGAAAATGGAGTCTGGAAAGGTGATATGAACAAAAGGTAGCAAGAGCTAAAAGAGGCATAAATGTAAGCCAAATCTTTATCTTCCAATTACAAGCCTGTTTCAATAAATACAGTCTTTTTTCCACCTAAGAGGCATTTATTGAGCAGTTAATATGTGACAAATATTGCATTAGACAAGGAAACTATAATATGTACTAAGGTTAAGGACCTAGAATCTGGAGTCAGAGAAATTAAGAGTGTGAATCCAGCTTTACTACTCAGTATCTCTGTGCCTTTGAACAAATTACTTAGCTGCTGTGAAATATCAGAAAAGTTACTGCCTTTCCAATTATTATTTAGTTTTCTCCTTTGTAAGTGTGAACAATCAGCACACCTACCTCACAGGGTCATTGTGAGGATTAAATAAGGCACTGCCACTGAAGCACTCAGCAGGGTGCCTGGGATTTATCAGGGGTTCATTCAATGTTAGCCATTATTATTATTACAAGTTGAATAAAGCATTGCCCATACTTGCTCAAGTGCTAGAAGATCCAAGTTCAGAGACAAGCAGAGAAACAACAAATAATAATAGAATTAGTTCAGTACAATAAGAGCCTCATGTATAGAGGTAAGGGCAAGGAAGGGGGTGAAGCCATAAACTCTGGTTAGGTTGAGGGCCTCCTGGGGCAATTGCACTAGGCCCCAGTTACAGACTTTTTAAAATCATTTTTTCTTAATTTTTTTTAAACTGGTTTAGCTCTATAGCATACCCGATCATGGCCTAATACATGGAAAGGAGTCAGAGGAGGAAATATATAAACAAAATGATGAGTGAGACTTCAGATAGGAACACAAGCTAATTAACAGCACTCGGCATTTTCCTGGTGCTTGTCTATTCTCCGGTCTCATTAGAACCCCAGTCTAATGTGTTGCTTTCAAGATTGATGTCTACTTTTTCTATCCTTTTTTTTCCCCATATATATATATATATATATATATATATCAACCCAATAAAAAACAGAAAATTGGGAATATTCTCTACCTACATTAGTTTTATATGCTGAAAGCTATCTTTTTTTAAATCAGAAATATGTAATCTTCCTAGAGGACAAAAATAGAGCCGAAACTCTGGAGACGATAGTATGGCAGTAAAAAATAGGACTTGGGAAGTGGACAATTCCAAAATCAAATTTTGGTTGACTTTGAGCATGTTATTTAACCTCTCTGAGCACAATTTCCTGTACAAGAGAGAAGTAATAACATCTATTTTATGAGTGTCAGTGATGATTAGAGGAAGTTAGATATATAAGAGATACAGTGGCTAAAAACATTGTTTTAAATTGGAGAAAAACATGACTTTATGAGTGAAGGAACTCTACAAACTCATTCATCAGTATCTCAGAAAATACAACTGTGAGTAGAGATTGATGCAGGAGTGTGTGTTTTAAAGCAGGGAATTGGGGCAAAGAGATGTGAGAAGGAGAAAAAGACACATCACAAGAGTAATGAATATATGTGTGTGACTGGGGAAGAAACAAAAATAGAATACTTCCAAAACGCATCATGAAAGAAACAGTTCATCTCAACGCTAATATGTGGAACGATACTCCTGTGGCCTCCAAGAGTAAATGCAGCTCCTGACGCGGACTGACTGCCTTGGAAGAAGCTTACACCTTGGGCCAATCTAACTTTATTAAGTTTATATGTGATGTCTGAGCTGGTGTATTAAAATTTTCTCTCAAATTCAAGCCTTGTCTGCCTTAGAGACTGCTATGTTACCTCAGGAGACCCAATACCAACAAAAGTTTATAAGAAAGGAGATCCACAGACACATGTTTGAAGCACAAGTTGGATAATTATTACAGTTAGAAGACAAAAAGAGTTTTAGCCTATGCCGTGATGGGAACTATTAGTTCATAAAGGAAAAACTGAACCTAAGTCCTTTCCAGGAAGTGAATGTCCAAAGTCTTCTCAAAGCCAATCTTTAGACTAGAAAACAAAAAAAATACAAATAGCACCAGAAATAATGATTTGACTTTACTTCCCATGGAGGAAAGAAACTGTCACTGGCTTTACAGTCTGTGATTGAAAAGATTTTAGCAATACCAACTGTGAGTTTTTGAAGGGATTATTAAACAGCTCTAATACAGCATTAGGCAAAATAAATAAATAAATAAAATAAAGTAAATCTTTGTTAAAAGCATTTCTAGGGTATCTTTTATTCAAGCTTTTCTTATTTTTTGGAACAAATACACATATACATTATATAAGGGTTGCATCAACTGAGTTTTGGAGGTGGAGGGGTCACCCACATCTTTGCCAGTGTTACTCCAGCCAAAACAAACAAACAAACAAAAAACACATCCTAGCATTTAAATAGTGGAAATGTCCACGAAAACCTTTCCTTACCACAACTTTCCCAATCACATGGGCCAAAAATTAACAAATGAACCCACTGACTGTCATCTATCAAAGATGCTCTTATCCGAATCTTCTGTGACTTATTTCTCTGAGTAGTGTATCTAACAGCTGCCACCTCAAACATCCGAATCTCTGGGTTCACGCTTCTGATAAATGACTCTTGCAACATTGTACTTGTGAAATCAACTGACCAGCTGGGAGCTTGGAACTTTAACTCAGGCTGTCACCTTCAATCCATCATCCTGGATTGGAAGAGAGTCACAGCTCTACAACTGCAGACCGTGCCAGGGTCGGAAAGAGCAGTTGCAGTCAGTTAAGCAGTTTAGGGATCAACTTTCCAGATCCCCCCCCCACAACAGATAAGTATCTTGTTGAAAGGGGACATTTGTAAAATAAATGCAGAAGAGAGAGGTCAAATATGCCCCTGGCAGAGGAGCCCACCCAGGCACCTTGTGCACTCACAGAAATCTGGGCTCTGGGAAATGGTCTTCCTGCCAAATATGGACTATGTGATATTTTCCGTAAGTTGAGAATTCTCTTAAACCTTGAAATGTCGAAGTAAATTGACACCAGTGGTATGCACGGGTCATCGGCATGAGATGGGTCAACAAACATGCAATGTGGGAAGCAGGCATGCAGAAAATGCATTCCAGAGCAAATGGCATCTTTATAATCATTTGGAAAGGCCATTTAGTCCATGTAAAAATTAACTGATATAATTTACATAGTTGCAAGCGAGTGAGCTGTATGCTCATCACTGAAATATCCTTTGGGAAACATGTCTTAGAAAATATCATTACAGCTATATGTTGCAGAACTCAGTGGGCATCTAATTTTAACAGGAGATTCCTGCTGTTCATCTTTCCGCCAAGGCACTAAGGCAATGTACCCTCGGTGCTTTGCATTTCATAGAAATATATATCTGACCATTTCCACTAATTCAGACAAATTTCCCTCCAACAGGTCAATCCAGTGGGGGCAATGTTCATAACAACTCCCCACCGCTAAACCTTAAAACAAATTAAATATGATGTTACCTCAGGGATTGACCCTTCCTTCTTTTTGTATCCAATACACATATGTATTTGCCAACATCCAGAGGCCCTGAACGCACCAGTGCAGTGCCTCCCCTAGTGGTGATTCCTGCAGGACTTTCCTTTGTATCAGTTTTCTCATGGTGCTGATGCCTTATATGAGCCTTTTTTTTTTTCCTTCACTTTTTATTTAGAGAAAGAGTCTTGCTCCGTCACCCAGGTTGGAGTGCATGGCACAATCACAGCTCACCGCAGCCCCTGACTCCTAGGCTCATGTGAGTGAGCTCCTGCCTCAGCTTCCCAAGTAGATGGCACTACAGGCTTGTGCCTCCAAGCTTGGCTTTTATTTTTATTTTGGTACAGACCTTGTCTTGCTATGCTGCCCAGGCTAGTCTCTAACTCCTGGCCTCAAGCAGTTTTCCTACCTCAGCCTCCCAAAGCGCTGCGATGACAGGCATGAGCCACTGTGCCCAGCCTATTATTTCTTTTTCACTTGAAAACCTACTCTTGGGATTCTGGTGAATTTTCGGCTTCTTTACTGCCAGCTGGGCCTTCCCCTTCCTTCCTTTCTAAAATGTGTCTTGGTTTCCAACCACGTGCTTTGACCTATCCCTTCTCTGCCTGTTTTCAATTTCCCTGTGCAGCTTCTGACGCTACTGCACCATGGTGCTCGCTACAGTCTTATTCACAGGATCAGGTAACACTTCCAGAGTTGGAGGGAACTTGAACATCTGCTGCACCTGGCCCTGAACATTCCAGTCAAGGGGACAGCCCGCTTAGGCCTGAATAACTCCATAATGAGAAACTCCCTTCCCCATACAAAAAGCTAATCTATATTAAGAGAATTTGGTAGAAAAGTATTCATTATATGGAGTCTAAATCATCACTGAAGTTTCTACTCACTGGTCCCATTTTTAATCTCTTAGGACAGAACAAAATAAAGAATTTAAAGAATATGGACCTTGAGGACCGAAAGATGCCAGTTAGGATGATGGTAACACCTTGGTATTTGCTGTGTAAACTTGTGCATAATACCCAGCCTCAATCATCCTCATTTTCCCAACTTTATACTGAGGACGATGATAGGATGATGTTTTGGTGACCATTAATTGTGGTATTTTAGTACCTAGCACAACGGACATTAAGTAAATGTTCCATCCTTTTCCATTCCCCCTTCCTCCACCTGAGAACAAGTCTCAGATGTGTGAGGGTTTATCATGCCTTCCTTGAAGTCTTTTGATTTCAAATTCCTTAAAGCAACTGGCAACTCGCCATTGAGCATGTTCTAGTTGATATTTTTAACATGGTACCAAGAATAGAACGCATTGTATGTGTGTTCAGGTGAGTGTATAGCAGAACTATCAATTCCTTTGCTACTAAGTACTATAGGTATAATAATGCACTCCAAGTTCCCCTCTTTGACTCACACTGCCAACAGCTGATCATTAACACAGCCTTCTGCCAAACCCTCCTTTTACCTCCACCTCACTGCCATGTCATTCTTAGGTTTTTCAATCTTACTTTTCTGCCTGCCTTGTCTATGCACTGAGATCTATCTTCCTTTGTTACAAAACCATTGATGAGCTTAAGTTTTTACTGGTGGTCTTGAGATTGTCAACCTAGAAGCACTTAAGCATTATCAAGTTAAGTCTTTTTAAAAATAATTACTAGCATGTTTTATTCATCCCTAATGCCTAGTGTCTTATGTGCTTTAAAAATCACGTTTAAAAGTTAGCTGGTTAACCATTAACCCCAAAGCCCCAAATTCTTTATTGATAGATATAGAATGCTTTGTCATTTCCCTCTGAATTCTGCTTATCTGTTTAGCCCTGATTCCAAGGGTCTCCCATTTCTGAGGCCATTTCCAATTTCAGTTTTTTGTTGGCTGAGAGCAACCCATTTTATTTGGGACTTTCAGTCTTTACAAGGTTGCTTCTACTTTGAGAAATATGACTATCCCAGATTCTGTTGTGCTGAGTGATATCATTCAGCACCATTCCTGGCACACACCAATGTTGCCAGTCTCTCCTCACGCCTTTTTCCATGTCAATGCCAGAAAAAGGGGGCCAAGAATAGACCTTAGAGAAATAAGCCTGCCTCACAAAATCCTGTCCTAGGACAGGTGCAGGCTGCCTTTTTCAGCACAGAGAACTAATTAGCATTCATTTTCTGTAACAAGCAAGTTACTAATTTGATCAAAAAATCCAAGTAAATTTGCAGCTTCTCTTCATCATATAATATTCATTTTTATTTAGCAACATGGTCATCTCATGCTGAATATTAGTTTTGAGATTTTACTTGACTATATGTCTTTTATTCAGGAACCGCAAACACCAAGTTTAATCATTAAGATGGAATTAACAAATGGCTGCAGTTACCTATGAGAAATGCACATAAGAGTTGTTCAATAAAACAATAAAAAATGTAAAATCTACATTTGCACCACATTTTGCAATTTATGAAATGCTTTTAATACCTACAATACCTATTTTAAATACTCAAAAAGCACAAAAACAAAAGATGGAAATGACATAATGAACAACAAACTGGAAAGAAAATGGGAAAGGATTTTTATTACTTCTCCTTTTGTCTCCAAATGTCTTGCATGATACTTGGCACATAGGAAGCACTCAATAAATGCCCACTTAATAAATTATGAATAGATAATAGGATGACTCATCAATGACTCATCACTTTTTTTTTTTTTTTTTTTTTGGAGACAGGGTCTTGCTCTGTTGCCTAGGCTGGTGTACGGTGGTGTGATCATTGCTCACTGCAGCCTTAACCTCCTGGGCTCCAGTGATACTCCTGCATCACCTCTATAGTACGTACTGGGACTTATAGGTGGATGCCACCACGCCTGGCTAATTTTTAACTTTTTGGTATAGATGGGGTCTCGCTATGTTGTCCAGGCTGGTTTCAAATTCCTGGGCACAAACCGTCTTCCTGCCTTGGCTTCCCAAAGTGCTGGGATTACAGGAATGAGCCAACATACCCAGTCAAACATCATTCTTATGTTTGTCCCGAAGCTATATACACAGGACACGCTCTTAAGAGCACCGACCAGGGATTTTCCTAACGAAAATGAATAACCAACCTGCAAGCCCAACAAGGACAATGACTTTGCTACTAATTATAATAGTTTAATCACTCCATAGATTATGGAGTAATGCTGCCTGGGTGCAGATTCAGCTCCACCACTTAGTAGCACCTTGAGCAATTAACTTTCTGTGCTTTATTTTATCGCTAAAATGGAGACAAGAAGAGTGCCTGCCCCATATGGTTGTTTTAAGGAAAACTGGATTAAAGTATGTAAAAATATTAATTCACACACTATAAATGACATATGTTTTTGGAATTAGGAGTAGCAATATTTCTATTGCCTATCACAATGCTTGGTGCAAATAGCAGCTACTTGAAAGAAATGTATATTTTTCATAGTTTATATTCTCTAGAATTACTTCAAAATGGTGAAGGGCAGACTAAAGGGGGTTGGGGCAGCCAGGCAGTTTGCAACTCATTAAAAATGGTACGTTGCATTTCCTTAGAAGCCAAGTGACTCAGAGTAAAGGTTATGTCAATTAGACTCCACAAAAACATCTAAAACATAAAGACACCAATTAGGTAGCCACTCCTTTTTAGAGAACACATTTTCTCCAAAAGCTTAATCCTGATTACTTTTATATGGTCCCAGGTATCACAATGGCTGAATAAAGGCCTTTTTCGAGTTCCATTCATGTGAAAAAAAAAAAAAAAAAAAGAAAAAGAAAAATTAGAAAAAAACAGTAAAACATAAAGGCTTTTTTTCTCATGTCAGAGATGCAATAAATTAATATTTATCTTTTCTGGTAGGTGTACTAGTTTACCTTTTCACCTAAATATTGCCTGACTCAATTCTGATATATGTGAAGGTCATATTAGTCCTACTGCTAAGACTGGATTGCAGAGGCAGAAATGCCTGGGCTAAAATAAAGAAGCCTGTAAGATATATTATCAAGAAATATAGCGTGCAAATGGAAGGGCTTGCTGCTCTAACTAGATATTATGTGGCAAAAAAGTACTGTATGATTTGTCTCTTTAAACCTGTCAATCCAACCTCTTCGGAGAGTAGTAAACTCATCAAATCATTATAATGATTTAGAAAGATCGCTTAAGAAATCGTACGTACTGAGCCAAAACCTTGTGCCATGATTAGGAAAAATGAGAAGCATTAAGTTACCTATAAATAGGAAATCAACATATTAACCTTTACTTTCTTTAAAGAGGCAGACACAACATGCATTGCAAATAAGGAAATTTCACGTACACATATCTTCTATTCACATCATTATTAAATCCTCTTGAGAAGACAGGGTCAGAGCAGGGCTGAAAGCACACTGCTTCATTCAGTCCCCTAGGGGAAGCAAAAAATGTATTACATGAAAACAACAGATTGACACAAGGAACATGAGACTGTAGGTAGAAGAGATGGACTCAAAGCACATGCTAATCCCAATGAAGCTAAAAAGGTGAGTTTGTAAAATGAAGACTTACAAGTGTTTTGTGTTTTTCAACTTAGGAGATACTCTAGTAAACACTACTTTCAAAAGGGAACCAAAAAGAAAAAAAAAAGGGGGGAGAAAAAAACATTATTTTCAATTATTTATAGAAGGAAGGAATAAGAACCATGAAATGTTTGGAATTGAGAATGCCTGAGAGATGCAGGCAATAAATATGTGCACCTTTGAAAAGAGAAATCCATGGCCAAGGAAATAAATATCCCTTTCAATAAGACTACCTCTTAACACTAGAATCTGCTTACATAATGATAATGTGGACTTCTTTCACAACACTCATAACACTTTTCCTTCTAATGACCAACTCTTGATTATGTAGGCAATAATAAAAGCGAACATCTACTATGTTCAAGTCACTGGGCTGAGCATTTTACATACAAATTCATAACGCATTTCTCACAACAAACCATGAAATGGGTACTGTGGGTTTTAGTTTCTGCCTACAAAATAGGAATGAGGATATCCACTTAACAGTTCAAAAGACCTTAAAATCTGCACCACATGGTTTGTTAATTAGCATAGGGGAAGGTGAAGTAAGAAGTGATGGAGACAGAGAAAGAAAGTCAGGGGCCTCCTAATACCTCACAGGCAGTGCTTGCAACATGAAACCGTAGTGATCCAGGAACCTCCAACTTCAAGGAAGACTGACCCCTAATCTGCCTATATAGTTTGTTTGTCCTGTTTTCAGCATGTCATTGTATCTTCTCCAGTTATCTGCCATGCCCATTGCTGGTTGCACTCAAGAGGACTGTATTTGTACATTCTCACCTGCTATAAAGAAATGCCCATGACTGGGTGATTTAGAAAGGAAAGAGGTTTAATAGACTCACAGTTCCACATGGCTGGTGAAGGCCTCATGAAACTTACAATCGGTGTGGAAGGCAAAGGGGAAGCAAGACACCTCCTCCACAAGGCAGCAGAAGGAATAAACACAGGAGGAACTACCAAACATTTATAAAACCATCAGATCTCGTGAGACTCACTCACTACCACGAGAACAGCAGTGGGGAAACCAGCCTCCATGATTCAATTACCTCCACCTGGTCTCTCCCTTGATACATGGGTATTATGGGGATTACAATTCAAGGTAAGATTTTTGGTGGGGACATAGCCAAACAATATCAAGGACAGAATCAGGTCCTAAATGAGCTTACAGAACAAGCTGTATGATAGTTTTTGTCTGTTTGCTGACAAATGTGTGTGTGTAAAACCTACTGTCATTATAAACTGTGACCAAAAAGCAAATTGTGGTCCAAGGGTTATAAAGTCCTATCAACCTAGAACAATAAAGCTGATGCAAAATTAATATAGAGAGGTTATTGGAGCCAAGGTTGAGGATTGCTACAAGAACACACTTCTAAGCTGCCTTATGGAATGCTCCAGAGAACAAAGGAGATACCCAAGTTTTTGAAGAAAAAAAGGACAAATCAGGAGAGAAAGTGATTACAAAACTTGTTCATCAAGAATTCTCATTGGTTTACAGAAATACCATTGGTTAGTCACTGGCTATACATTTGTAAGTCAAAAATAAAACTCCAAGCCCCCCAATCAACTGAATGGACCCTTCCCCTCAGCCAAGGGCATTACAAAGTTAACAGGAAAACCTAATTCAGGCCATGATTGGAAGTGGGTGTCAGACATGCCTCATTATACCCTCCTCCCTTTGGATGTCCAGGCACAGCTGACCAGCATTAATAATCAAACACAGATCTTAAGGCTGACAAAACAGAGTCTTTGTAGCAATAAGGCACCAAATTCCAGCCTGACACTAGTACAGCATCACATAACAGCAGGCCCTGAAGGAAATGAAAGTATTTTAGCCCAAAATATATTTCTTTGACATATTTTGAAATGGCCACGCAAACCTGTTTCTTGTGGAGAAAATCCACATTCTGTAGAGATCCCCTTCCTTTCCCAGGTCTTTTCCCTGATCCAGGAGAAAATTAACTAAGAGTGTGGCATCTTTTTATGTCTGATAAGAGCTTGGAAGCCTCTGGAGGCTCCTTGGAAGAACCTGAAGCCTTCATCTGCATGATTAAAACCTTGATCTCCACAACTCCATATCTTAACCCAGACACTCCCTTCTACTGATTCCGAGTCTTAAGATAATAACTTAACTCTTTCAACCAAATGCCCATCCAAAAATCTTTGAACCACCTATAACCTGGAACTGCCCCCCACCCCCACTTCGAATTGTCCTGCCTTTCAGGACCAAACCAATATACATCTTACATATACTGATTGATGTCTTATGTCTCCCTAAAGTGTGTAAAACAAAGCTCTACCCCAACCACCTTGGGCACATGTTCTCAGGATCTCTTGGGGCTGTTTCATGGGCCACCGGTCACTCATATTTGTCTTAGAATAAATCTTTTCAAATATTTTACAGAATTTGACTCTTTTTGTCAACACTTTGCTGCTACTTACGGTCAGTGAGTCTAGAGACTACATGGCAAGAGGCTTCAAGAGGTGATTCTTTGGCTCAAGGGGGAGTGAAACATGACTGTTACATTTTAAATGTCTCTCTGGGCCTGATAATAATTTAAAGGGGCTCACATTCTCAAATAAAAGCTTGCTTTTTTTTTTTCTCCATTTCTACCTCCCTGTGGTCCCTGAATACTACTGATAGTTCCCAAAAGAACATGACAACTCTGGAGGACCATATTGTATTTGATAACTTTTCAAAGTTTCAACCACATCAGAAGCTAATGGCCAAAGTACAGTCTTATTCCTTTCTGGATTCCTCAATATGTAAGCTGAAATCAATTTATCTCAGTCTAGTGATTCTCTTTGCTAACCACCAATTTAAAAGAGAGAAAGGCAGAAGTTCATGGAAAGTAAGTGATGGAGAAGTTCTAACTGAAACACACATCCAGGGAGACAAGAACGTATTATATCATAGGAAAGAGACCATCTTATTAAGGAATACAAATTAATCTGACCTTTACCCAAATGCACATCAGATCAAGGATTCAGACAGCCTTCTGCACAGCCCTTAAAGAATCTTGGCTGTTCTTCATGCAACAGTAAAAGCAAAATGTGGTCTATTTCTAACAAGTAGAGGCATACATTTAAAATGCGGTCTGAAAACTGTAGCAAACCAATAGTGTGGAGCCTGTGGGGGGCAGAAGGAAGATAGGCTCAGGCTTCTGTAAATGAGATTAAGTTTGCCTGAAGGGTATATTTTACTAGGAAATTAGAATGTAGTTTTATAACTCATACAAAGGGGGAAAATCCAGACTTCATTGCCATACTTACATAGCTGAGTTCAAAGATGCCTTGTCAGCTCCATGCACTTCACACAGACAACATATGGGTATGAATGTTACTGCGCAGGAATCATGGAATCCTTTCTTTTTTCTAAAGACTGAGGGAAGAAGGGATAACTGTTTGTGGAACATGGGTGAGGTCCTTCTCTAAGATTTTATGCATTCAGACAGATTTTCTGTTATTTGAAACTCCTAAGTTAGTATTAATTTTTTTGTATTTTTAGGATATACACTTAAAGACACTCGTAATGGATAGGTTACAGCTAATTCTAGAAACCACATATTTTTTGCCTCATTATCAAAGGTCTCTGGTCAAAATCTGTATTCTTACTGAGCATATGCCATATGCTCAGTGAAACACAGCCTTAGTTGTGTTCAGGCTGTTTTAACTGTGCTTAGGATAATAAAGAAAGTGTAATATAATGGGAAGTTACTTTATCCATCTTTAAATGTCATCTATCTATAGTTCTCAGCAGAAAAGACATGATTATTAAAGACCTATTATGTGGTACTCACATTGACAATAAATAGTTAATAAATAGATAGAACTGCTTTTATTCCTAAAACAACCCTAAAAAATATGTATCATTAAAATGTTATGGATGATAAAACAGAATCAGATGCAAATATATCTGCCCCAGGTCACATAGTTAGTAAAAAGTGAGGCCTGCTTCAAACCCAGCTGTGTCTGACTTCCAAGATGATCCTCATTGTATGTGTCTTAGGAATTCATGTATTTATCATGTTCTCACTTTTTTTTGCTGCTTACAAGAGACATAATATGTCAGCTTCATTATTATTAATGGTGGGTGAATGAGAACTAGTATTGTGGAGTTTAACAGAGCACCAGGAAGACAACTGCCCTTATATATCAGTCCATCTAAATCCCTGACAAAGTATAATATTTTTTACATTTATGTAGAATTTGAAGTCCAACCTAGGGAGAGTTGGAGGCAGCGCATGAAAATGACAGGAAAGTGATACAGTATCTTCCAAGAACTGGGAAATAAAGGCAATCAGGTTGCCTCCTGAGAGTTAAATAGTAAAAACATGTAAAGTTCCCTTTCAGAGACAGAGTATCTCTTATGCAATAAGACTTGAAAAAGAATTAACACATGGGGTGGGAGTGAATTATCCATCAGAAGAAAGGACAGTCAGAACTAAAGAAAAGATAGTCACTAGAACAAGGGTTGGCAGTGCCTGTCCTCATACCGACCAAAAGACACAACCAAGAACTAAGTTGTCTTGTCTAAGTAGAAGGCAACTAAGTTATCTTGTCTAAGCACAAGGTAGTCCTACAGTGAAAATGGCATAAAAGGCAATATTAGCCTGGAATATGATAATTATATAATTATATAATGTTAATTATATACACATATAATTTACGTCACGTAAAATATGTGACAATTCTCCATACCTACCCTTAGTCTTACTCTGAGTTCGCTAAACAATCTGGCTTCCCAGGTCCATGGAGGCAAGAGAGAGTGTACACCGCAGATCGATAGGAATGTTTACTTTGACTGATTATCACGTCTCATTGTAAAATTGATGGGCGTTCTGCTTTCTGTTAGTCTCTTTCAAGTTTAGTTAATGTGATTCACCATCCTTAGTTGAGCACATCCTGATAAACTGTTATAATTAAATTTGGGGGCTGGTCAGCTAAAAATTATACCTTTGACAATAACAAACTTACTAAGATGTTTTCGTAATAGCCATTGTGGCCAGTGAAGTCAGCCAGTTATAAGCTGGTGACCAGATGACCCAAACTACCTTCTTTCAAACATTTACAGAACCAATTTAACTCTTTGAGAAGAGGTGTTATCTATCAGCAAACAGACTTCTTTATTTTAGCAGGAACAGGTGTACCAATCTATTTATTACATATAATATTTGGAAAAAATTAATCACAATGGTTATGGGACATTGAAATAGAAAATGTCGATGGAAGATTCACTGGACAGGAACTAGAAAGTTATTTCTAAACTCCACTGCTAATTAGCTATGGGACCTTGGAAAAATCATTTAACTGTTTTGATCCTCAATATCTTTATCTATAAAGTGGAGAAATTGAAATATCTGCTGTCTACGTTTCTTCCAAAATGCTAGCATTCACTCATTTTAAGTTGAGATGTTAGCTTATCTTCTAAAAGTCAGAACATTTATTTTGTGCTGAAATGACTTCATTTCTTTCATATATTGGCTTGCTACTGTCATGGTTGCTTTCGACGATTAAATAAATGTCCTCTAGTGGTCCCTAATATTGCTAACCCATCGGACAGCATATTTCCTGAAAATGCAAAGTAATATAAGCAATGAAGAAAACTGAACTCCACAGTCTCTAAATTATCTGTGACTTTAATTACTCATCACAGAGAAATGCAGTCTCAATAAAAATTTTGCCTAAATAATTATACTCCCGATTTAATCTGTAATCATTTTCATTCAGGCTCACGTGAAACATCCCAAAAATCAAAAGGCCAGGGATTGCTAAGTCAAGTAAGATAACAAAATCCCCCTTCCATTTCTGAATAGTTAGGCCAATGTATGTGATTTTTCTAAGATGCTGCATAAGTCAGTCTTCTGTAAAAATATATGTTCACACCTTGCAAGTTAGTTTGGCAGATGGACAATCACAAAGGAGTTTTGTGTTCACTGAATAAATACCATCTATACATTTAGCTCATAGAGACAGAATGAGGATTAGCATCTTTACAGGATCAATTAGCAAATATATTCAGTAAGCCCCTTTCTCATCTCCATTGTCAACTCCAATCATTTATTTATACCAACTAAAATCTTCTCCCTTCATTATTCATTATTGACTAACAAGTAATGAGGTGATTGTGCTTTCCTAAATGTGTTATTTATATATCCACACTATTTTAATTTTTCCAAGCAACTCACACCCAGTCAATACTGTCACATTAATACGAATGCTTTTCCACGTATTTCCTTAATTTAAATAAAACAATACAGCTATTCAACTGCCACTACCTTAGATCAGTCTTCCTTCAATATACTATTCGATTAATGTACTGCCTAGTCGGTTGGTCAGCCTATTTCCAATCGTGCCTCCCTATAATACATTCTCCATCATGTAGCTCGACCGATCTCTTTAAGCTATAAAGCTGATCATGTCAGCCTTCTGATAATCATTTTTCAATGGCTCTCCAATGCCCTCAGGATAAAATCCCAACTTCTTACAATAGCATACGATGTTGTTCATGGTCTGTATCTATTTGACCTCTTCCATAAAAAGCCCACAGAGCACAATGGGTAAGAATCTGCCTCTAGAGTCACATTGCCTGGTTGCAAAATGCCAGTCCTGCCACTTACTGGCTATGTGACTTTGAACAAGTTCACAAATCTCTCCATACATCCGAGGTAACTGGGGTTGACAACAATAACATGTGCCTCATTGAGATGTTTTAAGTTGCAATAAACTACAAAATTGGCCGCACATGCTTTCGCTCCCCTTAAAATGGAAGTCATTTCTCACATACTTCAATCTGGGTTAACTAAGTGACTTGATCTGGCTAAAGAGGAGTTAGCAGAGACTTGGAATGTGATTGAGAACTGAGATGTGTCCTCTTGCTGATTTTAGAGCCCCTGGCTGTCATGTGAACCAGCCTGGGCTTCTTCACTCAATGACCAGAGACACGTGGCCCAGTCATCTCCACTGCCCCAGCCATCTGCACTGCCCCAGCCAAAAGAAAAACAATTGCCAAACATGTGAATGAGGCCATCCCAGATGAACAGCTGAGCGCAGATGAAGGAGCAAATCCAGCCAAGATGACCCAAGCCTGCCCCATAGGGGAACAATCACCCTGCAGATTCCTAGACTCAAGAGCAATAGTAAATGATTGTCTTAAGTTACTAAGTTATGGGGTTGGATTTTTTTTAATGCAGAAAAAGCCAACAGATATAATACAATTGAATGAGTTAATATATGTAAATCATTTTTAAAAGTATGAGGCATATATATGAATATAAGCTGTTATAATTATAACTCAGTTGCCTCTGAAACATGCTGTTCTTACTGAGACCACTGGTACTTATAATCCTAGAACCTAGTATGTGCTGACATCTCCAGGCCTTTCTAAAGTTTACCAACCTGGAATACTGCTGTCCTTACTCTCACCGACCTGATAAACTCCTAATTCTCTTAGCTTAACTATACCTTCTTTTGTGGATCATTTCCTTACAGCATTACGTGGTGTTTAATATCCCTTCTGTGAATTCTCAAGAGTTCCATGCTTACCCCACTGTAGTGTTTCCATGTTGTACTGTTATTATCTATAGATTTGCCACCTACACCATTTTACAAGCTCCTGAGGGTTAGAAGCTATGTCACTATTGGGTATTAGAAGCTGTTTTATTTTCAGCAACTCTTTATTACAGTGCTGTAGTCAACCCCATAGAACCAACAAGAGTTGACTCTCCAAAACAAAATTATTTATGTTTGAAGGTTCGAA